>NC_000015.10:86592793-86744308 GCF_000001405.40 Homo sapiens
GTCAGCTGTAACTAATTATTATTTTAGAGAGACAGTATAACACATGCCAGACCAACACCCAATGGTTGCTTGACATTCCTGGGGTGCGGGACCATCTCCTGCCCTGCTTATATCTGCCTAGCTACCTGCTCTAACAAAACCACTGGTTTAACATCCCCTTGGGATTTTCTAACTTCATCGTTACTTCATATTTACTAGTTATCATTCTATGACAAGGGAAAACCTCTCCCTTTATCTCTATCCTCTCTCTTGCTCTCTCTCTGCAGTACGGATTCATGGATTCATCAATGGGTTATAGTCTACCAGTGTCATTATTTATTTTATTGTTCAAGTTGCCCCAGTGTGGTCACAGGGAGGCCCTTCATGCTGCTGCTTTTTCCTTTTGACATGTCCTTATTCTGTGAGCACTTTTTTAGTTCTTGGCACCACAAAATGTTTCTTACTAACCTTGTACTTTCTCTGTCCAACTTGTGGAATCAGCTCTTGTCCCAAGGAACCTTAGATTTTTTTTTTTTTTTGAGAAAAGAACTTAGAAACCAAGATCTGTGGATCTGGTGTGCTCCTTGCTACTGATGTGTCTCATCAGACAGACCTAGGAGATAGGAGATACAGACAGCAGTTATTTAACCATGAGAGCATATGGATATCTCCAGCTTAACACTAAAGAGTATGTTCTAAGTTTTCTGTTTTTCATATTTTTAAATGTCTTCTTCAACAGCTGGGAATTGAGAAACCTGGCATGAGACTCATTATTTTTCTGCATGATTCAGTTAATAGATAAATTGCATGGACTAATTGTTATATCAACTTCGCTGGCATATAATTTATATACAGTAAAATTCACCCACTTTACATGTACTGTTTGATAAGTTTTGTCAAAGTATATACC
The DNA here is from genome assembly GCF_000001405.40 of Homo sapiens. NCBI lineage: Eukaryota > Metazoa > Chordata > Mammalia > Primates > Hominidae > Homo > Homo sapiens. The sequence continues at coordinate 86,593,683 of NC_000015.10, forward strand.
ACTGAAATCACTAACCATAATCAAAATACAAAATATTTCCAATATTCCAAGAAGTTCCCTCCTACTACTTTGTAGTTAATCCTTCATCTGTAGCTCTAGGGAACGACTAATCTTTTGTTACTGCAGATTATATTTTTCATTTCTAGAATTTCATATAAATGGAATCATACAATATGTGTTCCTGTTTCTGCTTCTTCTTGATGTTTTTGAGATTCTTTATCTTGTGTGACACTGATTGATTTTTTTTTTTTTAATTTTGAAACAGAGTTTTGCTCTGTCACTCAGGTTGGAGTGCAACAGTGCAATCATAGCTCACTGCAGCCTAGAACTCCTGGGCTTAAGTAATTTTCTTGCCTTGGCCTCCTGAGTAGATGGGATATAGGTGCACTCCATCACACATGTCTGGCTATTTTTTTTATTTTAATAGAGATGAAGTCTTACTATGTTACCCAGGCTGGCCTCAAGTGATCCTCCCACCTAGGCCTCCCAAAGTTCTAGGATTACAGGAGTGAGCCACTGCGTCTAGCCCTGATTGATTTTTAAACCAAGCTTGCATCCCGGGGATAAAACATATTTGTTCATGATTTATTATCTTTTCATATGTTGCTAGAGTCATTTTGCAAATATTTTGTTAAAGATTAGTGCATCTTTGATTTTGAGGTCTATTTGTAATTTTCTTTTTTTGGTAACATCTTTGTCAGGTTGTGCTCACAAAGTAATGTTAGTTTCAGAAAATGTAATAAAAAATGTTCTTTTCTTCTATTTTTTATTAAGTAAACTGAAGAATATTGCTATAATTCATCTCTGAAATATTTACTAGAATTCACCAGTGAAGCTGTCTAACCTGGAGTTTTCTTTGTGGGAATGCTTTTTATAATGATATAAGGCTATTGGTCACTCTTCAGTGCCTTTAAATATCTTTGTTTTGTTCTGTTTTCCAAATTTATTTCAATGTTAAAATTTGTAATTTGAGAGCATGTTAGTATGCTACATGATATTCCTTCACTACCAGAATAGTACAAAGTAAAATCTATTTTTTAAAATCTCAATCATACATTGGAACATAGTTTTACATCAGCAAATACACCTGAATACTGCAGAGTATTTCATTTTATACACACATGACTATTTATCTGATTTCACTACTTGTATACTCACTCTCGTTTTCTTTAAACCCACTCTATTGAGGCCTTTATGCCTACTTGAATAACATTACTGTTGCCAACCTCACTAATTGTCTCCACTTTGCTAAATGAGTTGGTATGTCTTTCGTCCTTGTTTCACTTGATCCATCAGCAGCATTTGACTAAGTTGGTCACTTTCTTCTTTCCTCACTTGGCTTTCAGGACACCACCTTTTCTTGAGTTTCCCTGACCTCTCTGGCTGCTATTGTTTGATGTCATTTGCTGGTTCCATTTCTTGTCCCTGAACTTTTAATGTTGAAATGCCGTGAAGCTCTGTTCTTGGTCATCTTCTCCTCTCTCTATAACCTTAATCCCTTGGTAATCTCAACCAGTCTCATAACTTAAAGTGTCACCTCTATCTTGTTAATTCCAAATTTATATCTCCAGCTTGGATCTTTTTTTCTAACCCCAGACCTAAAAGTCTAACAGACATCTTTAACTCATCATGTTCCACACCAAATGCTTCAAAACTTGCTCCTCTCACCTGCTTATAAATTCTCCAAAACCTACTCCTTAACCTTTTAAAAGTTCAGTTGCTGTCAGTTCTGTCTTTCTGGTTATTCAGTTCAGAATCCTTGGCTTCAACTATGAATTTCTTGCTCTCTTATATTGATCAAAATTCAAATTCTCTTGTCTTTACATTTCTAGTAAATCAAAAATCTTACCACTTTTCACCATGTCATTATATTATCAACTATTATCTCCTCTCACCCTCTCCTGTCTCTCTCATTCCTTTCTGAGTCTGAGGGACCATCACCTCTTTCTTGGACTATAATCACCTGACATGTTCTTCTTTCCCACTGCACAGATAAAACCAATTTACTGAGATAGTAGTATTGCAGTAGAAAAAGTTTAATTAATGCAGGGCTAGCGGAGTGATAGATATGAGTTTTTTACTCAAATCAGCCTCCCCAAGAACTCAGAGGCTAAGGTTTTTATGGATAATTTGATGGGCAGGGGGCAAGGGAATGGGCACTGCTGATTGGTTGGAGATGAATTCATAGAGTCTGGAAAATGATCCTAGTGCACTGAGTCGGTCTCTGGGTGGGAGCCACAGAATGAGTTAGCTATGAATCATGCATCCCTGTGGAGTTAGTTAGTCCCCAGAAAGCCAAAGTCTGAAAAGCATCTCAAAAGACCAATCTTAGGGGGTTGGGTGTGGTGGCTCACACTTGTAAATCCAGCACTCTGGGAAGCTGATGCAGGAGAATTGCTTGAGCCTAGGAGTTTGAGACCAGCCTGGACAACACAGGAAGACTCCATCTCTACACACATACACACAAAAGAAAAAATTAGCTGGACATGTTGGCGTGTGCCTGTAGTCCCAGCTACTCAGGAGGTCGAGGTGGGAGGATTGCATGAGCCCTCCCTAATGATCATTTATTGCCCTTCAACAAAAGTCCTCTTCGCCACCCCCTCCCATATCCTCTTTTGCTAGGATCCAAGTCCCCATTCTTTCTGTAACCTTAAGATGATATATGAACTTCTGTTCCTCACTGGGGGTTGGATCTCCATTCAGAAGGCTCTTATGTATATATAGGTTAAATAACTTTGTGTGCCTTTTCTCCTATTAATCTTCTTTCTGAGAACTGATTTTTCAGCAGTCCTTCAGAGGGCCCTTGGGCCCCACACCTAAGCGATCTTCTTCCAGTACATCTCCTCATTCACTGCTCCAGACACTGTGGTTTTCTGCAATTCCTGGAAAACACCTGGTGGACTTCTCTCTCTTTTTTTTTCCCCAGAGATATACTTGGCTAACAACTATATTCAAGTCATCATTCAACTTTCATCCATCCTCCTAATGTAGCCTACCGTGACTGTCTTGTCAAAAACCATAAATATCTTACCTTCACCTTCAGAGTTTCTAAATCCTACCTTGACTGTTCTGTCAAAAACTATAAATATCTCATCTTCACCTTCAGAGTTTCTGAATCTATTTACCTTGCTTTCCTTCTTCTTTTTCCCCTATTACTCATCAACTTCTAATATCATAAAATTTATGTACTATATTTATTATTTATTGCCTGTACTCCTATTAACATTTAGTCTTCAAGAGCAGGGATATTTATCTGTTTGGCTCACTAGTATTGTGTACCTAAAATATGGACCAACATGTGACAGATATTTAATAAATTCACATGGAATAAATTAGACAGGTTGTTCTCATTTTCCACAGCAAGATGGATTTATCCATCAGTCCATTTGTTTCTTTGTCCATATATCCATGATAGATTGATCTATTGATCTGTCTATCTAATCTACCTATATCCATCCATCCATCCATCCATCCATCCATCCATCCATCCATCTCTCTTATCTAGCTAGCTAGCCAGCTATCCATCTATTTACCTACTATTTTCTGTCTATCTGTTTTTGAGCATTTACTCTTTATTTACTCTGTCAGAAATAGTGTTAAAAGCTTTGGAAAAAGTAAATATACAGTGATGTGCTAGAGCTTCTTACGCCAGCTTATAGGAACTGATGGTTCAATATTCAGAAATTTTACGAGCTGGCTTTTAAAATAGTGGTAGCTTGAAATTGGCCATGGTATGGGTATTTATACCAGAGAAATTGGAAAATTCTGCAAATCAGGGCTTTTCCTGCCCTTTCCCTTCATCACCCCTAACCCCAGTTTACCAGTGTACCACTAGAAGTATAAGACATCTCTTGCCATAAAGCAGTTAAACTCCTAAGCATATAGCTCCTAAATACAGTACGTAATAGAACTCAAGAGGATAGTTAAGATGGACTTGCAGTATTCATGTCTTGTGGAAATAAATGAAGAATATTCAAATGAGAATAGACAGAGCCTACTTACTCAGAGCTTGCTTTATCAAGGGAGTCAGCTACTATCACTTGTGTTTGGCAGAGATGCAGAAGCAGTTAGGTATTTGGAAAGCTTTATAAGTGAAAAAAAGGGGAAAACTTCAGGTGATCTAATTGGAGATTGTTGGCAAGGGGAAACTGGATAGATAGAAGTGGGGCAACTTATGTGATTGGTTTGGGGAGGATTTTGGCTTTCTCTAGTCTGTTCTGAAACAGATAAAAGAGAGGGAACAAAGATAAGAAAGTTTGCCATTGTTGATAGTCCTGATCATCCTGAGCTGACTGATTTGGAGGTTGTGGTATAGCTTTCTGGACTTCCTATGTGGGTCAGAGTTCTATCATCATATTTTGTCTGGCTGTTGTCTGTAAATTTGGTCTCTTTGGTCCTTGGTTTTGTCATTTTCTTGCTTATGAGGGGTGTTTAACCCATTCAGAGAAGGCCATGGTTTCAGATATTCACTGCTAGAGGATTGTCACCATAGTCAACTGTATTATGAAATACTGACTTTTTAGTTATATCATCATGGTAATCATATAATAAGGGAGCAGCTGTGAAGAAGCATTTAAAACTCTGAGTAGAGTGCAATGGACCATAGTCTTGACACTATGACTAAAATGACAATTAATAGTTCACGTAAGATGCTTTGGACCCAAGAACGCCAATTGCCAAGACAACAAATTCCAGAGGCTATGGAGATTGACCTTAGTGATCTAAGTAGCTTTTTCCTTAATGCAAAATATAGCCAGTTCTACTTTGCCTGTTTGATCCAAGTGCAAAATCAATATTAAAAATGACATAGAAGCCACCACGACTAGCCCAAAAGGGATGTAGAGCAATGCAATTGTCCATCACTATTCTTGTCAACAAGTGACACCATTTTGTATTCCATCTAGGGCAGAAGTAGTGTCCTTAATGACTTCTGCCAGAGTTAGGGATCACTCTTTTAGAGCTTTTACTTCTGTATGTATGCTTCCCACTGTTGGGAACACTGCTGTGACTGTCTGCACAAGCAATGGGTCAATTTAAAACATGGCTGCACCTATACTAAGGATATTACATTGAGATGACTTACTGTAGATATGTTAATGATATTTAAATATAGAAATGCAACTTAGATTTTGTTGTTCTGTAGACAGTGAAATTAGGGTCAACTGTTGAATTGTCAATGTAAGGATGAATTTGATATTAACAAGAAATCTGAAAATGGAGCAGACTGACCTGAGAAAGCAGTGGGCTACTGAATGTTTTCCAGAGTGATTAGCCATTTCTCAAGTGTAATGGGAGAGTGTATAATATTCCAGCTTTGAGGGTGAGGTTGAAATAGATTATTAACTTTAATGTCTCTTTCAATGCTAAGAGTCTATGTCTCAGAATGATTCTTGTGAGACGTTGATAATCCTGTCGGGAGAATAGTGATTAGTTTCACACCGAGCTGACTTTATTTTACCTAGTTTTACTTAGTTTTTTAAAAGTTTACTAAGTTTTTAAGCCAGAGTTACAAAAGTTACAAAGGGACACTTACTAGTATTATGTTGTTTTACCTGCCATGAGAATATTCTATAGTCATATGTTTTTCCCCTAAAAATTTGTTGTATTTTCTCTTTAAAGACTGTGTGAATCATGTAACTGAAGATGTTTCCATTTTTTTTTTAGCTGCCATAAAGCCCAGGGACAAATTTGCCATTGAACATGTTAACCATGCAGGGTCAAATTGTCTCTATATTTATGCTTTTTCTTCCTGGTCTCAATCTCTTATTTTAAATGACATTGTCTCTGGCTTTATTTTTATGTTTTAAATTTACTTATGTTATGCATTCTTTCAAGTACCTCAAATCCTTTGGGAAGTGCAATGGGAAGTGGATGAATGGATCGATAAGTGAATGCATATATAATGGCATGGCAAATTGGTGTTTCTTTGGGTAAGTGCCTATAAGCGGTGATAATATCATGTTCCACAATGGCCCAGTAAGCTATCAATTCCTATCCTTGCCAGTAATTTTCATTCTTACCCAATATCCAAATTCTTATTCCCCGATTCCTCAGATGGATTCCCATTTGGATAATCATCAGCCCCAATTCTATGCTCATTCTGAACAGTTGTGGTAAACACTATTTTTTTGCTTGAGATCCAATTGGTTAATAACAAATTGGGTGACAATATCCTACACCTTTTTTACATATCATAATTAGGGCTCAGTAGGTGCTTGATGTATAGAAGAATGTGCTTCTAATAATAAAAACCCCCATATTGAAAACAAAACTTATTAAATACCCCTTGAATTATATACAGCCTACTTAAATTGGCAGTACATTTAGTCCCAAAATTATGGTACACTTGATTTGCCATCTTAGATTTAATTTTGAATTAATTTTTGAATAGTAAAAAGTAATTGCTTCTTTCCAGTTATTACTGATCTGAGCATGTATAGAATGTGCCCAGTTCTGGGCAACATCCTTGGAGAAGGATGTCAGCTAACTGAAATAGGTTCGGAGGAAGTTAACACATTTCTGAGGACTTTTGAAAGTATGTTGCCTGTCACTGCTGGAGCTATGAATGCTTAGTCTGGAAAGTGATTACATTGACATGGTTATTTCTTTCAAATATTAGACTTGAGTTTCTCCACTGTGCACTAAACCTTGTGCACACATGGAATCTTCCAGAAACACAAATATTATCAGACAGGTGGTACATGTTCATGGTACCAAAATACCACTACATCAAGTGCCCAAAATATCTTAAAGGTCTTGCAAAAGGACTATACGGGATGTGGTTTTCTGATAACTGCCATGTGGCAACCTACCTGTCAAGCCACCTCTGTGTATACCTCCTAGACTGTGTTCTAGGAATAGTCATCCCCTGGCAGTATGGGATGGGTTTACTCTGTCACCCAAACAATCTGCTTTTTGTTTTCCTACAGAAGGCACCTTAGGTGGATTGATTAGGAGAGATCCCTGTAGCCTGGAAACTGGTTCCTAGGAAAGGAAGCTGAATCAGAAAGAATCTGGGTGGGGAGCCCTGCTTTTCCTACCCTTACCCTCACCTCCAAAACAATTCCCGAATCTGCTTTTATGGCTAAGCAGTATCAAAATCAGAGAATATAAAAGAGAGAAAAATGGGCTGACTTGTTCTTTCAGTGGCACAGTTCCAAAGCATTTTAAATCTTAAACATTCTAAACACTACTGCAGTATACCTGGGAGAGCTGATACTAATTTAATCAAGGCAGAGGAGGAAGTCTGTAACAGTATTCCCTGTAAGCTCTGACATTTTCCAAGGGTCCAGAGCCTGCTGGGCTCCATTTGTAATTTCTTCAAACTTCTCTTTTTGCAAAACCCTCCTGGATATTAAAATACCCTAGGATTGGTGGTAACTGCAACCATTCCATTTCATCTTATTTGCATTAACTTCCAGCCAGACCCTTATGGAGGGAACAGTTGACAGAGTTGTTTGTTGTCAAGGAAATGGTGGGAATAATAGGGAAAAAGTATGCTCTCTGGTAGTCATTTTGTCAAAAGAAAGTTACATAGATTTAATTAATAATGAGAAGATTCTTCTGTAGACTTAGCTAGCACTCAGTTAAGGGTTATCAAATCCTCAGCCTGGAATTTTGAAAGTGACTGGGCAATACATTATTTGACTTTGTTTTTAATATATTTACCTTTCCAAGTATGTGTTGCTTATACTAATAATACAATTATTTTGCATTTGTTGGAAATATTCTGAATTAGAATTGAGGTCTTGAAAATAGGTAGTGAATTTCACAAAAATGTGGCTTTAAAGCTAAGCTTTGATCAAGCTTCTGTTGGGTGCAAGTGGGTTAATTAATTCAATGAATTAATAAATGAATAAACAGATAAACAAATGCTTTTTTAAAAAGATACGAGTAAGGTTCTTTCTGTTTCTGAAAAGACAGATAAGCTTCTGCCCAGCCAATTAAGACTTAAGAAGAAGGCACAAGTGGTGAGCTATGGAGGACAAAGGGAAAGAAAAGGAGACGTTTTTAACTGGTGTTTTAGGCAGAATCCTCAGTAATGACACATTCCATTTAATAGCAGTTTTAATTTCTCCAATCCCTTCTATATTCACCATGTTATTTTATTTTGAGGTGGTTTAGGCAAATTATCATCATTACTCCATCCAATAGATAAAGAAATGGAGACAGACAGGATAAATATGTGCCTAAAGTCACATAGCTGCTTAATAAATTGTTTGAGGCCAGATCCCAGGGCTCTTGGCTTAACCATATACTCTTTCCACTAGATTACCTGGACAAGCAAAATTTATGAATTATCTCCATTAAATATAAGCCATCAGTAGTTACTGTATCTTAATTGTTCTCTCCCTCCCTTCCTTCTTCTTTCCCTTCTCTTTCTTTCTTTTCTTTTTCCTCTTCCCTTTCTTCTTCCCTCTCTTCTTTACTCTCCATTTTTCTTTCTTTAAAATATCACGACATTGGCAAGCATTAGTAATCCCTTTGCCAGAGAAAATCTAATCCTCACTAACAATGAGTCTGAGTTTTAGATTCTTAATTCATCACATGTTGTATGGTGGGAGTGGGGTTGGTATAAAAATTTCCTCCTTCATAGAATTATTCTGAGGATTAGATTTGATTATTACGTGAAGTGCTCAGCACAACTTCTAGTACATTGAGAGATTAACTACTCAATAAATGGTAGCTGTTGATGCTGTGATGTTGTATGCTCACCAAGTAACAATGAAATTGAAATTGATAAAAAGAAATTCATCCTCATTTCAAAGAGAGGGAAATAGAGTCACAAAATATACAGCCTTGATTTGAGATGAAACCCAGGTATGCTGTCAGTTAGTTAGGGCTATTTCTGGGCAAATTCCAGTCAAGTTTAATATAGTCCTTGCATACGAAAAGATTTGTAGTGGGTTGAAAAATACCCAGCTAGTGAGGAATACATGAATGATCTAGTTAACAATAGGATTGTGAAATCATAATTATGATTTAGTGGAATGGGTTGTTTCTATTTTATAAACAAGATGGGAAATTATTTAAAGATCAGGACTTAACTAGGGAAACGTCTTTGGAATATGAAAATGAGAATTCTGAAGTTAAAAGCATTAGCAGAAAAAAATAAGGCTTGGAGGGAAGAGAGACTTCAGCTATGGCTTTGATCTCTTGAAGTCGATATCAAAAGCCTTCCTTCTAAGTGGAATGCTAGGATCTGTGTTCCTCCAGCAGTGGACCAGTGGAGGTCTCATTCATAATAGTGACACCTCTTAAATCAGGCCTCTCACCCTGGCTGCTGACATGTTGTTGGGTGTAGACTTGACTTGCAATTGTAGATGAAGCCCCATGCCAAATGGTTCAATTACAGTTCAGAAGAAAGCAATGATAGGATAAAGGCAGTATTGGTCCACATGCATTCTGAATGTGGGCAATTTCTGGCATCTCTCAGCCAGAGGAGGTGGTTTCCTTTTATTCTCAGAACTCAAGATTTCTTACCCCTCAACATTTAGCCATCCCCCACCATCATCCATTTCTCCACATTACTTTGTAGACCTTCTGGACTGTATCTTTCCAAATTCAGATTTCCTTGGTTACAACACAAACCTTCCCCTCCAAAGGACCCAGTATCTGATGCATGTTTTAACATCTCACTTTTATGTGTTAATTATGTGGTTGTTTAGGAAATAGTTGGAAACTGACTTAAGAATAAGGATATAAAATCCATTTAAGATTCCTCTTAATATTGTTGTTCCCCACACCCCCGCCCCCTACCATCTCAAGCATCTGGGCACTTGGCTAAAGGTTAGTGCAATGACACAGGCTTCCTGTCCCCCTTAGCCCCCTATTTTCTAATATCCATCCCTTTTACTTTCTAGATGGGCATTCTGCCTGAAATGGGATAAAGCTGGCACACTACCTACCAGAAAAGAAATCTTTGTTTTCAGACAGAAGTATTGAATCGAATCTCTCAGAGGGGAGCCTGACCCCTTCCCTCTCTTCCCGCCCCCTCCATCTGGAAGAGAAGAGAAACAGTGAAATTCAAAAGTTGCCAAAGTTTAATTACTTCTACTGAAAGTGCCAAAAAAAATGTGAAAGCTTATCCTTTAGTGGAAGGAACCCAGAGGGCCCTGTGGACATTTGCAGCAGTCTGTTTGCCATTTGTTTTTGTTGTTGTTGTTGTTGTTTTTGTTTTTCTACTATAGCCCCTGAGTAGCAAATTTCCACTTTCTTTTCCAAGACGAAGGAGGACAGATTGTCCCTCAGAGATTTCAAAAGGGTGTTTCAGATTCTGCCACTAGAGACAGAACTATTGAGCCATCCCCAAATATTTCTGCTTTAAGATTCACACAATGTGAAATTTCAGGCAAGCATTTTCTTACACCATTAGCTCATCATATCGACCATCCACCTATACAAATTGTGTTAAAATTACATCCATTTCTAACAAACTCATCGGGGCCACCTCAGCAGATATTAAAATAGATGTTTTTCTTAGGGGAGCAACAAAAACTCAACAAACAAGCAAAGAAATAAAAATTACAAAGTTGTAATATGAAATTGTAGGCAATTAGATGATAATTAACATTCTCATTAAACAACAGTTATCAATTACCTACCATATGTCAGATCTACACACTTTTATTTGTTTTATTATAATTATTTATCATGACAACCCTGTGAAAGAAGGTAATATTTTCATTTAATAGGTTCAAAGAAAGCTAAATTTTCATCGAGGTTATGGGACTTGGCCAAAGTTACCCATCTAATCATGAACAGAGCTAAAATTTCAATCCATGTTTTCTGATCCCGAGGCCAGGCAATATTTACTCCTCAGTTAACTCTCAATTACACAGTGGCTGAACTAGCTTGTGGATCACCACACATTTATCTGCCTCTTCTTTTCCTGTGCTATATTTTCTATGTGCCTTACCTTTTAATAATACCTGTACAGTTGGGTTGACATATACCAACCTCAATTAACAGGTAACAAAATTTTCTTTTCTACTTCTTAGTAGTTGGATAGGCAGGTGAATGAGCCCAATAATTAAAATTATATATAAATTATTATGAATTGCAATGATTGCTATTTTCACATTTCTTTTTCTTTCTTTTTTTTTCTTTTCTTTCTTTTTTTTTTTTTTTGAGATGGAGTTTTGCTCTTGTTGCCCAGGTTAGAGTACAATTATGTGATCTCGGCTCACTGCAACCTCCGCCTCCTGGGTTCAAACAATTCTCCTGCCTCAGCCTCCTGAGTAGCTGGGATTACAGGCATGCGCCACCACGCCCGGCTAATTTTGTATTTTTAGTAGAGACGGGGTTTCTCCATGTTGGTCAGGCTGGTCTCGAACTCCCAACCTCAGGTGATCTGCCTGCCTCAGCCTCCCAAAGTGCTGGGATTACAGGCGTGAGCCACCGCGCTCAGCTCACCTTTCTTTCATATGTGGTAGTCAAAACTGGTGACATGAAGAATATTTTTTTTAAAAAGAACAAATTTTCAAGTTGAAGATAGTAAACAACATTGTTTGAAAGAAATACAGCTAACATTCCTTCAGCTTTTATCAACAAGCCTGTTCTTAAAGGAATATCCTTTTCATTACAAATGAGACATGGTAGGTTTTCTGTCCTGTTGGTGACTTTTTAAATAAAAAAAAAAAGAATCTTACATCTTTAAGTTTTCTGTGAAATCAGCATGCTTTGCTTTTTGATTTCTGATGTCTCTTTCTTCTCAATCTAGTTCTTTGTGGATTTATTGCACAAATCTGTGCAGCAGCTAAAAACTGTCCTTTGATACAATGCAGGCAGTAAGCATTAACTTCTACATTGAGGGAAATTGGTATGGAGGATGATGGTGCAACTGGGGATTGGAAGCCAGTTGGGCTGTGTATTTCAAGCTCTTTTTACTTTCTAAATCTCTGATGTACCTGGTTCATTCTTAACAACACATGGAAGACAGAAATTGCCCTCAGAGGTTAAGACATTGACGTTGATTTTGCTAGTCCAATCTCCAGTTGAAGCCAGGTTTTGATTTTTCAGAATATCGCAAAAAGTTCATATTTTACTGACGTGGACTCAGGCTGTATGTGAGTGTGTGTGTGTGTATGTGTGTGTGCATGTGTGTATGTTGTGTGGTTTGGGCTGGGCTAGAGGAGGCAGCATTGGTTGAAAGAGTAAAGAAGCCAGGCATGGTGGCTCACATCTGTAATCCCAGCACTTTGGGAGGCCAAGGAAGGTGGATCGCCTGAGGTCAGGAGTTCAAGACCAGCCTGGTCAACATGGTAAAACCCTGTCTCTACTAAAAATACAAAAATTAGCCTGGCGTGGTGGCAGGCACCTGTAATCCCAGCTACTAGAGAGGCTGAGGCAGGAGAATCGCTTAAACCCAGAAGGCAGAGGTTGCAGTGAGCCAAGATGGTGCCACTGCACTCCAGCATGGGTGACAGAGCAAGACTCCATCTCAAAAAAAAAAAAAAAAAGAGTAAAGAAGAAAGGAGTCTGAGTGACAAAGTGTTCTAGTTATTGAATTAATCGGCTTCTATTCTACAGACTAAGGTCTGAGATTTGGCTACTGTGGTTCTGTTTAAGCAAAATGGCATATTTGGGGGAGTGAAAACATTCCTTCCACAATCTCCTTAGAAACAGAGCTCCCTGGTAAATTTGGCAAGGACACTCAACAGTATAGAGTTTTCTGCGTGAGATTAGTTTTAGTAAAATAATCAGTAAAGACAGAGAGATGGCCAAAATTATCTTCGTCTAAGTTACACTCCAGGGAAGGGATATAAAGACGCTGTTTATTGGTATCTGACATTATTGGACACCTGATAATTGTTGAACAACTCACCATTAAATAGAATTTAATCTGCTTTTGTTCTGAAATCTTGTTAAGAATAAAGTGAGAGTAAAATGGTGTTTAGAGACAAGACACAGAACCAGACCCTACTCCTCCTCTCTTGAACTCTGTGAAATTAGCATGCTTTGATTAAAGATAATTAACAGGCTTTTTTGGGAGCAGGTTTAGATTTATAGAAAAATTGAACAGAAAGTAGAGGGTTCTCATATATCCCCTTTCTCTCCTCCCAGCTTCCCCTATTATTAACATTTTGCATAAGTGTCGTACATTTGTAACAATGGATAAGCCAATATCTGTATTACTAACCAAAGTCCATAGTTTACATTAGGATCATTCTTTGTGTTGTTCATTCCAATGGTTTTGACAAATGTATAATTACATGTATCCTATGTTGTAGTGTCATATAGAGTCGTTTTACTGCCTTAAAGATCCCCTGTGCTTCCCCTACTCATCCTTCCTTCTTTCCCTTGGTGGAAATTACTGAATTTTAAAAACTCTCTCCATAGTTTTGCCATTTCCAGAATGTCATATAGTTGGAATGATACAGTATGAAGCCTTTTCAGATTGGCTTCTTTCACTTAGCAATATATATTTAAAGTTCCTCCATTTCTTTTTATGGCTTGATAGCTGACTTGTTTTTCACACTACACATTCCATTATCTGGAGGTACCACAGTGTATGTATCCATTCACTTAGTGAAGGACACTTTGATTGCTTCCAAGCTTTAGCTATCATGAATCAGGTGCATCTGGGGATTGGAAGCCAATTGGGGTTTCTATTTCAAGCCCTTTTTACTTTCCAAATCTTTGATGTGCTTGGTTCATTCTCTTGAATGAACCTCCTCTTGAATGAATGCTTTAAACATTTGTGAGCAGGTTTTTGTGTGGACATACAATTTCAACTCATTTGGGTAAATGGCAAGGAATGGGATTACTGTATCCTATGGTAAGAGTATGTTTGATTTTGTAGGAAACCACCAAACTGTCTTTCAAAGTGGCTGTGGCATTTTGCATTCCCAGCAGCAATGAGTGAGAGTTCCCTCTACGCCATATCCTTACCAGCATTTGGTGTTTTATATTTTGGCCATTTTACTGGGTGTGTAGTGGTATCTCACTGTTGCTTGAGTTGTAATTCCCTAATGACTTACTATGTTGAACATCTTTTTGTAAGCCTTTTTGACATGTATATATCTTTTTTAGTGAGGTGCCTGTTCAGGTCATTTGCCCTTTTAAAAATTGGGTTATTTTCTTATTGTTGAGTTTTAAGATGTGCTTTGCTTTTTTGATTTCTGATGTCTCAAGGGGAATGTGCTATAGAGGAACAACTGTTATGCAAATTTTGTGTTTCTCAAGCTGGGGTAAGGAAAGTCTAGGCAGGCAGTGCATGGACATATTGTCAAAGGTTTATGAATTATTATTTTATTTGAGATGATATCTATAAACCATAAGAGAAACATGTATTGCTAAGCTGGAGGACCACTTTGAAACCAAGTCTTATCTTCTTTCTGCGCCTGCATTTTCATTAGTATTTACAAGTGCTTTAACACCAAGTAATGACACAACAGTGACATCATTTGTTTTTAATGCAGTATTTTTAAAACCAGTATTTTATAATCCTGCTAGTATGTGGATATATTATCTGAGATCCAGAACAGCTTTATCCCTTTCTCATCCTGCAGTTCAGGTGTTTCTGGAGAGAAACACCAGAAATATCACTACAAGGTTTTGGTCACAAACTACAATAATCTCTACTATGTTAGGGCAAGACTTTCTTTGCCTTGGTTAGACACAGGCTCGAGCTAGAACCAAAGCAGAGAAGAGGGACTGCTCTTTGTCCTTTTCCCCAAATTCACTTTCCAATCTTAGATTTTTAAAGTAGGGGAATGCAAGAGCAAGCAAGAATATTTGCCTAAACACAACGTTCTTTTTTCTCTGTTGATAAGACACTATGCAGAGAAATGTGGCTCAAACTGAATAGCCTTGCAACCTTCTCACTGAAAAGTAAAATGCTTGGGTCCTGAGAGGCATAAAGTGGTAGAGGCAAAGCAAAGGAGGCCTTGAACTGCCTTCCCTGAGAGACCACTATATACGACATGATGCTGAGCTGCAGGATTCACCAGCAGAGACCTGGCAGGTATCCAGGCAGGATGACGGCAGCATACCGGAGAACTCTGCCCATTGAAAAGAACAGCTGCTATTCAGTGTCAGTCAGTTGCTGCATACCAAAATGTGGGCTCAAGTCAGATCTTCTGATTTTTCAAGGGAAGCTGGAAATCTGAATTTAATGTAAAATCTCCTAATTTTCAAATGTTGGCAATGAGTTTGGACCCTGTGAGCATCATGAAACATATCTATAAATGAGATCTGGCCTATCACAGGGCTTCCAAGTTGGTGATTTTTGCTCCAGTTGGGTTTGCATCGCTAGTGACTTGCTGACAAGAAACTGCATCTTGGCAAACACAAGGTGGCTATGTGGAATATGACACGGGAAGCACACTTTGCATAATTTTAAAGTACGTGACTTTTTTGCTTCCAAACATATTTAGCTAAACTGTGCGGGTTGGCTCTTGTGAATGCATATTACACTCCCTTTCTACCTGCTGTCTGATCCAACCCACACAAACCCAGACAGAGAGATACATCCTTGAAGGTGTTACTGCCTGTATATGGATAAAGATTGAGGAAACCAGCCTTCCTCTTGAGGAGTACTAGATCTCAGGCTCTGCAAAGTAGGAAGAGATGGAAAGAGAACACACACAAGAAAATCAGAAAGGAGGAGGAATTCAGACCAGAAATCCTAGGAAGCAGAAGTTGCTAGGTTGCTGAGACTCAAAGGTCACCAGCCATCAAATGATGTTTCAGATACCAAAGCTGAGAATCACAGCTGAGGGCAGAGAAGTCTGGTGCCTGGGCTGATGCACACTTCATTTACTGCTTTCTATATCAGTAGCTGTGGTAGGGAGTATTGGCACCTGTGGGGTAGGGTATGTGTAGTTCTAGGAGTTAATTTGTGTTGACCTATTCTTGGGTTTAATACCGTTTTAGTCGATCCAGGTTATAGAACTCAATCATAGGACACATTGCATTGTCTCCCCCAAACACCTCATTCTCGTGAAAACTTCTTGTTAAAAAATCCATTTATTCTAACAAATAACTTGGCATAACAAACAGAGGTCATGTGAGAATTGTTACAATAGCCAGGTGAACAATGCATGCTTTCTCAAAAAGTTAGGGGGGAAAAAGATTTGTAAACGACATACTCTTGTAGGAAAAACAAAGCAAAGCAAAACAACCCAGGTACTCATAACAATTCATCCAGATTTCCCTCGACTACTTATTAAATGCCAACCATATGCTGGGGTTTTGTGTTCTGTTTAACAGACCCTATCTCAAATTTTTATCTTAACTTTAATTGTGCCCATTTTATGGATGAGGCCATGCTTCTGTGAACACACCACTTGTGCAAGTTCACAGATCAAATAAGTAGCAGAGCTATGCATCCAAAAAGACTACATGTCCCCCCCATCTCCACCAATGGAACATCAAACTTTTAATGTCTCTTAGGGGCAAAAACATTGTTTTCTATTAGGGATTTAATTTGACTACCGGTTTAAAAAGGTGATCTCCTCTTTCTGTAGCATAATACATTCAATGGAAGATAGTCATTTCGTCTCTTTTGACATGACAGCACTGTGGTTGTGATATATGTGGATAGTTGAATGTCACTACCACCATACTGTTGGGTTAATGCCAAACCTCCAACACAGCAGACTGAGAAAGAGAAAAACTTAGTCAACCCAGTGGTTCTTTGGTCCACATAATAGTAAACAAAAGTTTAAGATTAAGCAACATCAAATACTTCAAGAAAAATTAAAATTTTTAGCATGTGATGATGGATTTGAAATGCTTACCTGGGGCCCTTAGTTGTGAAGAGACACTTTCTTGGATGTGAATGTGGAATGTACTTTGGGCGACAGCTAAAAAAGTCAGCCTGGGGCTGCTCACTGTTCTGCCCCAGGGAGAAACAGATAAACAAAGGAGTTCCCTAGACTAACTAGATAATACAGTTTAGAGTTTAAAATGGGAAACAACCAAATCCAAATTATTTCCCGCAAATCTATGGGGAAGAATAAAAGGAATGTTTCTGATTTAGACTTTGAATGCAAAAACTCTGCTTCATACTTTGTTGAGACGTTCCAAGGTAGGTCCAAAATCAGTACTTAACTTCGCTTCCCTAATCACATGTTTTGCTTCCCTAATCACGTATTTTTTTTTCCTTCTGTGTTTCCCACCACTTTCTTGCCTTTTGTCTTTCATAAAGTATTTGTAGAGGTCGTGATATTCACACTGTCCTGTGCTCTGGATCAGTGGTTCTCAAAGTCTGCTCCCTGAACTTGCAGCTTCATTGTCACCTGGGAAATGTTAAAAGTGAAAATTCTCAGATCCACTTCAGACCTGCTGAATCAGAAACTCAGGAGTGGGATCTGGGAATCTGTGTCTTAACAAGACCTCCAGATGATCCTGATGTGAGGTCAAGATTGAAATTGTGACTAAACTAGACTGCAAAATTGAACAGGACTTGTATCTTGTATCTGCTCTTGGTAGCTTGCAATTTGATAATGGGCACTGCATTAAATTATTAGTTTATGATAAACTATATGATATAGGTATGCTCAGGGTGTGTGGATGAACAAAGAAAGAGCAACAAAATAAAAATCAATGTTTTAGAGGAACTTCTGTGACACTTTAAATTCAGCAACTTTTTATTGTCTAAAGAGTGTCACCAATATATTTGCATATTTGCGATGTGCAGCCATCTTAAATTAGCAGACACCCCAACCACTGGTGATCCATAACACCAAACCAGGAGGAAATCAAATTTAATTTTGAGAATTTTTCAATATAGATGATGTGAAACATCCCTTTAATGTTTTTGTCTGCAGAGTCATTCAGTTTTTCTGGGGCCTAGAATTTGAACTCAACCCCAAATCAGGAGAAAGACTTAGAGGGAGGAATATTCACCAATCCCAGGAAGAAAGAGTTAATGTCAGATCCTACAAGGTGAATTGCATCCTGTTGCAATTTACAACAGGATGTGGAAATCTTTGCTGATTTATTGCAGCCTTTTCTGTCAAGGTATTTTTTCCCCCTTGGTAATCTAATCAGAAAGACAACGTACATTTCTGTGGGATTTTTTAAAGCATGATACTCACAGGCAACAGAGGCCAGAGAAGAGGTTCATATTAGAAGAACAAGCCTATTTGTAAGATACTGTGAAAGCAGCAGCTACATGAAAAAACCTCAGAGGCGGAAGTTTACTGTAAACTCAGGGTGAGTCAACAGAACCACAAGACTGCCAAGAAAGTTAATTTGATCTTACCCTGCATGCACAAGTGGCTGGTATTTAAAATGGGGGCAGGCTGTGAGTGTTCTGCTCAGTAGAGGTCAGAACACACCTGGAGTATTGCCTTTTGTTTTGAGCCCAGTTCAAAGGAATTTAACAAATAAACCCCAAATTTCCAACCCAAATCAGACTCTAGCTTCTCTACTTAGTAATTGTGAGGGAAAGAGAGAACCATCACCCTCAGCTGGAGATAAAACCTCCATAGTGCTCTTCACTTTTTGGGAGATTGTAGGGGGAAGAGGAAGGATGAGACCCTAAGAGATCTGCCTTTGACCAGCAGCAGGATGCATCACCTCCATGAGTCTTTGAATATGCAAATAGAAGCCCCTGAAGGGTAGCACAATATGCCACCCCAAAATATGCTAGCCACTTTTGCCTAAGGATAATTTTGAGCTAAAGGCATATTAACAAAAAATAAAATTCTAAGCTCCTGAATAAACTTAGGCTGAATGGGCCCTGCCTTGGCCAAGGGGATTCCAAAAAAACCTGAAGAACTAGTTCAGGCCATGATGGGGTCGGGGGAGGGGAAGGATGGGGGTCTGACATGCCTCATCACACCCTCCTCCCTTCGGAGTTTAGACAACAGTGACCGGCATTAAAACAGAGATCTTAAGACTGACAAAACAGACTCATTATAGCAAGAAAATACCGAATTCCAACCTGACTCTCGTACAGCATCACAGGACAGCAGGCCCTGAAGGAAATGAAAGTATTTTACACCCAAATATATTTCTTTGACGTATTTTGAAATGGCCCTGCAAAGCTGTCTCTTGTGGGGAAAATTTGCACTCGGTAGAGAACCTTCTTTCTTACTAGGTCTTTTCCAGAGTGTCTGACACCTTTTAAGTTTCAATAAGAGAATTTTACCATCCATTCTCTCTGAAGCCGGCTGGCCTGAAGGCTTTATCTACATGACAAGAACCTTGGCTTCTGCAATATCCCTCTCCCCTTAACTGACCTTAACTCAAGCTGATTTCAATTCTTTCGACCAATTGACAATCAGGAAATCTTTGACTCCACCTATGATCTGGAAGCTTCCCTGCTTCAAGATGTCTTGCCTTTCCAGGCCAAACCAATGTATACCTTACATATAATGATTCATGTCTTTGTCTGTAACTTTTGTCTCCCTAAAATGTATAAAGCCAAGATGTAACACAATCACTTTGGGCACATGTTCTCAGGACCACCTGAGGCTGTGTTACAGGCCATGGTTCTTAACCGTGGCAAAATAAATCTCTAAATTGATTAAGACTTGTCTCAGATACTTTTTGGTTTACAGGTACCTTAAAGAAGAAAACAAATTAAAGCAGGAATCGGAGCGAGAGGTTTGTTGGTTTTGGAACGTAAGATCCCAAACCATTGGAGAACTGCAGCATGGTGAAGGCAGTCGAGGTCCCATGAACTTGTAGGTGACTTTAGCTGGATCTAATGGGGCAGTAGGACACCGGTTGGTGCGTGGACAGTTAGTGGGTGAGAAGACAGTGTCTGGCATGTTCAAAGCTGCTTAGCCAGATGAGTGGCAGGAGGAGCTGTGGGCATTTAGCTCAGACAGAGAAGGCTTGCTGTGAAGTACTTAAAGGCTGCCATGTGAAAGAGAGATTAGGATTATTCAGTGTGTTTATAAGAGCTAGAACTAGGAATTGTAAAGTAGGAAATTACCTGAGCCAGATTTCAGATCACAGAAAGTAAGTCACGAGTACTTACCAGCTACCTAAAGAAGGCATGACGTTTCCCAGAAAGAGGGCATTTTCTATTGAGGGATGAAAACAAATGTTGGTTAAAGCCCAAGCTCTGCTACTCCAAGTAGGATCTTCAGAACAGCATCATCTCCATCACCAGGGAGCTTGTTAGAAATGCAGAATTTCAGACCCCATCCCAGACCTACTGAATTAGAATATGTAGCATAGTAAGATTCTTGAGTGATCTATATGCATGTTAATGTTTGAGAAGTCCTGAGTGAAAAGACCAATCTCTAGGGATGTTATTCAAAGTAGTTCAAATAATTAATGGATAGGTGGATTCCTTTCCATCTCCTAAGGGAGGTGGGGTAATGTGCTGCTGCAAACTTTGTACGGTAAGGGAAGAAACTTATCCCGCTGAGTTGTTGGTTTTAATAAAAATAAATCCTAAGAACAGAAGAATGTGCAACCCAGAACTAGTTAGCTGGCTCTGGATAATAGAAGATTCTATCTGTTTTAACTGTAAGCATCTATTACACTCTGCCAGGCACTGGGAATAAAACAAAATGAATAATATATGCATCGAGCTCTATGTATTAAACTGTTATACTCTGCCCCTAATGGTTGAAATCATTTACTGACCCTGGGGCTCTTGCCTTAATTTCTGGATGAATTTAGCTCATCCTTATTGTCACTTTCTTCCAGCCCTGCTCTTTTCTTAATTCTTGATAATATTGCTGTTCACATGAATACCCAATACCTGGAATACTCCACCTTGTTCTATTGTTTTCTTAGTATTTAGCACCTTCAAGCACTTTTATAAATTATTTTCTTATTTAGCATTTGTGTGGTCTGCTTTTCTTTCACTAGAATTACATGTTTCATTAGTAAGAAGATTTAGGTATGGTGGTACCCTGATGGAATACTGATAAAACAGGTTTGAAATGAGCTTTGATTTGTAGTGTTTGCCAATCCCTCTGGTGTAAATATTCCTGTCATGGCCAGTTTGAAGCTACTGTTACTACATCACTGAATGTGATGTTAGGAAAAATGTGCACAATTGACTCTTGTGAGCTGGCCTGAGCAGCTTCCATCACACAGTTGGTCCCTAGAACAGTGTTATTTAGAACAGTGTCAACTCCAAGTAAGTGCTCAAAAGATATTTTTTCATTTACTTAATGAAGGAATGAAGTGGAAAAAACCAGATTGTCATATAATCTACTGATCGTAAGAAGAAAGTGTTGTGTAGACAAAGAGAAGAGACAATTAACAGTAACTTTATGGCCTATTGGAGGCTTCTTTCTGAAGGTGACAACCAAACTGGGTGTGGAGTTGACCAGGCAGTGAAGGTAGTTTATAGAGAATGAGCAAAGTTGTTCTAAGATGAGCAAAGAAAACTAGAATGGTGAGAGTTCATGGCAGGGCAATTTGGATAAAGTAATTAGGATACCAAAAGGATGGGCCTTTAGAAAAGGTTAGGACTAGAATGTCAAATGTCTTGAGTGACACATTAAGCAGCATGTTGAGGGTGATGGAGAGTCACTGAAGAAATCTAAAAATGAGAGTAATTCTAGCAGATTTGCCTTCCAGATGCCTCTGCCAGCAATGCGGGAGATTAATTCTAGCATTGGAAGTAGAGTAGAGGGCCAGGGAGACTAAAAACAGACTATTGACTAAAAACCAGCCTAGGAAAAGATGTGATGAGGGACTGTGGTAAAGACTAGAGTGGAGGAATGGGATATGGGAACACATCTGAGAGCTCTTCAGGAGTAGGTTTGATGCAGGTGGTGTCCAGTGGGATCTGGGGTAAGGAGGAAGAAGGTAAGATGATTATGAGATTATTTGATGGTTACTGTGGCTTTAACTAAAATAGGCAACACAAATTGCAGGAACAGATGTAGAGGAAATGAAAAATATTCCTTGTGCTATGCTGAACCTGAGAAGGCCACACGCCATCCCGGTGGAGATGGCACAGTGGAGAAGGCAATAAACCTTCCATGGACTTTGAGGCAATCTAATCTGAGTGTAACAGAGCACTGAGGCTCCGGTTCACCTCTGGACAGCTGGCATGGGTGCAAAGACATTGATTGACATGTTAAGAAGATTCAAAACTACTCAAAGCCACAGAGTTAGAAATGTGAGTTTTATATTGTGGACAGAGGTTAAAAAATAGATTTAAAAGTCAACAACATATATAAAAGTTCTGGAAGCAGATGGAAACTCAGGGAAAGACTGTTGTAAAATGAAAAATTAATTAATAGGGATGACAGTGTTGGGGTTATACATACATTGATAGGGGGCATCAATATAAGAAAAGATGTCAACAGGAAATAAAAAAAAAATACTCCCACGGAAGTGGAAGGTAAACCACAGAAGAAAAGAGTTTCAGGAGGTTGGGGCAGGGAGATTAAGCTGATTAGGATAGCAATTGTCACAATACAATAAAATGAAGATGGGCCAGGAGTATTGGCTCACCCCTGTAATCCCAGCGCTTTGGGAGGCTGAGGCAAGTGGATCACCTGAAGTCAGGAGTTTGAGACCAGCCTGGCCAACATGGTGAAATTCCGTCTCTACTAAAAGTACAGAAATTAGCTGGGCATTGAGGCAGGCACCTGTAATCTCAGCTACTCAGGAGGCTGAGGCAGGAGAATCGCTTGAACCCGGGAGGCAGAGGTAGCAATGAGCCGAGATAGCACCACTGCACTCCAGCCTGGGTGACAGAGCAAGACTCCTCCACTTCAAAAAAAAAAAAAAAAAAAAAAAAAAAAAAAAATGAAGATGGAAAACTTGTCGTTGGATTAGATTGGTGGTCATTGTATGATGTTACTATAGAGGTTGGACTGTACAAATTGCAGTGGGCAGGGTGATAAAATGGGAAAGGAGAAAAGAATGAGCAAGTAGAGGACACTGTCTTCAAAATGCCTGATCAATGGGTAAATATAGAACTAGACACCTCTTGTCTGATTTTGTTATTGATTTAACTTGCTGTTGACCCTGGCACAGCTTTATCCTATGCCTACATAATGTTGAGTCACTTGATGTTTCTATAGAGTCATAGATTTGGAAATATTGTTATACTTGGCTTCACTCAGACAAAATATTTGGTTGATTAATGAATTGTTACCAGTCACCTGTCACTTTGTCACATTTCAGACATATACTTCGCTTGTCCATCTCTACCCCTCAATTTCCTCCTCCTTTTGTAAATTATACTTCAATAAAGTTGACTCAAAAAGAAGAAAAGGAAAGAAACTGAAAGGGCTAGTCCTATGTCTTTAGCTCACAGTAAGTATTGTGAAAAGGGACTTTTGCTACTTCATCTATCTCTTCTGCTTCTTCTGTCACCAGGAGCGATTGCTTGCTGGTAGGGCAGGATTTGTGTTGTAATCCTTTACCATCACAAACATTATGATCCCATTTCCAGTTTAAATGTTATCTTGCCTCCTTTAACCTTCACTCTCTGCTCACATGTAAAAATCTATTCCTCAAGTCCCTTCTTAGCCTTAGCAAAGTACCTTTGGCCTGACTTCCCCTTTGATCTGTGATTTCTAATTGCATTCTATAAAGGGTCCTGCTTTTACACAATTTATTGACCCTTTGACAGGAATTTGGACTAGTGTCATTCGACAGAATTGATGTTTTCTGCAATCTGACGGCTGTTTGGATTTCAGAGTCGATAGCCAACAATAATATTCCTGTGACCTTTCAGAGTCACTGTTTTCTTCTGCTGTAAGGACTAGACACATGAGATTGGAAAGAACTGCCCAAACTGGCTTTCTTCCATTCAGTAGGAGAAATGATGCCTCTGACTAAAGTCAGAATGATTTACATTAAAAATATAAAACTCTCTAGTACAGAATTGAGCATGAAATTCCTCCTGTCTACTAATCAATTGTATGTATGTAAATATTCTGTAATTTATGATGAGTTCTGACAATTGGAGCTACAAGTGGTATTGTCAAATTTTCGTTCAATTGGTAAGAATATGGTATTGTCAAAACTGTGATCATAGGTATATTTTTTATTTTTAAATTAAAAAGCTTTTTCATTTCTTGGGCTGTGACATAAGTATATAATATACTAGGTAGACAGTATAAGATTGCTGTTTCATAGATCAGAAATGGTTAATAATGGCAATTCTGTGTGATTCAACTTTATGCGCACACACACACACACACACACACACACACACACAGCCAGCCAGAGCGAGAGAGAAAGAGATTTTTTCTTAAAATGCAAGTACTTCATAACAGAAGTTTGATACGAAAGTGTTGATTTGCCATTTCAAAAACAAAACATATTATTCCTATTGGGTCAATGATTATGCAATATTAGTGGAATAATATTAATTGAGGACTTCCTATGGGTAAAATATTTAATCATAACATTTCTATAAGGTAGAAACTGAGCAGGGCTTCCCACTATATTATACTTCTGCCTGAGATTTAACATTTCTCATGCATATCTTGGAAACTGAAGTCTTGATGGAATATTCATTAGAGGGGGCTAATTATAACCAACAAACAGAAATACTCTTTAATTCCAAACTATGCAGGATGCTACTAAGTTTGATATCAGAGAAGATAATTTAAATAAAGAAACAGGAGGCAAAAACCATGTCTGCCTAGTCTTGCCTTTAAACAACTGCAATTTTGTTTAAGAATTACTAACTTCTTGGTGCTATGGCAACTTATTTGCAAGCCATTAGGATGAGGCTAAGATGATTTAAAGACCTCTCCCCACTTTAGATGGGGCTCATTACATTCCTGATGACACCAGCAGGTCTATTAAGGTGATAAAGCAAACGGAGCTAAAATATCTTTCTCCAGGTTTCCTCCCAGGGCCACCCTCATCAGACTCATTTGGGGCTTTTATTAAAAATATAGATCTCTGGGCTCTAGCTCCAGACCTACTGAATGAGAATCCTTAGGGATGAGGCCTAGGGAATCTGCATTTAATTAGCTTTTCCAAATGCCTGGAATTTTGTTAGTGCTATGTAAATGAATATTTATGTCACATGTATAGTGCTAATAATTCTTAGGCATCTCAAATTTGAGAACTGCTAAACCAGAGAGTGTGGTAAGACATGCAGATTTATTTGATCCTAGACTCCCATCCTTACTGCACCAGAAAATGGGAAAGTGGATCATAGACTGATCTACTGAAATCTCTGGTAAAGACATGGAGTTTTTCTAAGATGCCCGTTTTGCCCTCCTCATTACAGACCCTCCGTGGATCCTGCTGTCTCAGGCACATCCCTATTTTGCTGGACCCTCTGGCGCTAACTCCTTCTCTTGGGATACAGGTTCTGCTCCTACTTTGTAGTTGCTTGTCCTCTCAGAATGCAGAAAAAATGTAGGCAGTAACTATCATTAGAGATCATTTAGGTTCTAAAAGATTTTTAAAAATGACTTTCAGTTCAGAAAATTTCGTAGGCCCTTCTGTAATGAGGACCCTCAGGGGTCTGTGGCCAGAGTGCTGAGGTTCAAACCTCTTTATTCACTCATTCATTTAAAAGCTAATATATATATATCAAGTGCCTGCTATGAATGAGGCACCATACTAGGCCCGAGAGATACTTATTATCAATTATAACGTCAAGCATATAATAAGTACTCAATATATCTTTTTTAATAGACGTGACACTGAACCTCCTACAATGCCTTTAATTTACCAGTGACCCATCTACACTTGGTGTGTGGCCTAAGGTCAAAGATCACTTACTAATGTGGAAGAGCCTTTTAAGATCTACCCCTGACTTCCACTTCTTCCCTTTCTCCATGCTTCTTTCTCTCTTTTAATGTCCTAAAACAAAATGAAAAGTTCAGTGGGAAATGATAAAGTTCAGATTTCATTAGCTTTTGATGTCACTTTTCCTTGGGGAGAAAAATCACATTTTTGGGTGACCTTTTTAGTTAATTCACAGCTGGGAGAAAATCACACTTAGTGTCTTTCCTGTTAAGAGGTAATTAGACGCTGCTGGTCAGTGCAGTCCTATGAGATGGGCTGTGCGGTGGGGGTGAACAGAAGCAAAATATTGCACTCATCCTTTTGGCCTCTGATTCCCAGCGCCTGGGCCACAGTGGCCATTAAAGGAACGAGATCAGTAAGTGACAACTCAGACTGTGACAAGCAGTGAAATAGAGGTACAATACCCGGGGCAGAGAGGGCTCACTGCAGACCTGGGATTTAGGGAAGGCCTCAGAAGAAGGAACATTTGAATTGAACCTTAAATAATATATGCTAAGCTTCAAAGGAACTGAAATGTACATGCACACGCAGAGAGAGTGGGCAAACTTGATTTCTACAAGAGTCTACTCCTGGATATTCCTATAACAGAGCTAAGTCACACTGCTGCTATCAGGACCCAGTCTTTCCTGCTGATGGGCTTTCCAGACTCACTAGTGTTAGCCACATAACTGTTCTTCCAGAAATGCTGGGTGAAGACGGATCTCAGAGTGTTTTTATTAAAACACTGTGGTCTCCAGTAATATCACTTATTTGTGAGTTTCCCCAGGTGGAAAGGGTCCACAAAATTGGTGGTGTCAGGTACGATTCCCATAAGTAGAAGATGAAAAGAAAGATCCATGAGGTCACATCCAGTCTGTCTCTGGAGGATCAGGGCAGGAGGATTCCGGGATGTGTTTATTTTCTAGCACTCTGTCCACCTCAGACTTACATGTTTACATTTATATAGCACCTTTCCTCAAAGGAAATGACTTCACTCGTGGAAAAGCGAAAGGTCATTTGAAATTTGAGTTACATAGAGAAGCAATAAACTTCACGCTGTCAGGAGGTTGCGCTGAGACTTTGTGAATGATCCTTTGTGGATTGCACCCCATCACTCCCACTTACCTGCTTGCCTGTGTGAGATTTTTGTATGCTATTCCACACTTGTCTGCATGCTGACCTCTCATCTCCCAGACAGCTCCTTTGGCTTCCCCAGTGACCTTAATTATCACCTCATCAAGAATACATATTTAGTGCTTTTAATCTGTCCCCAGAAATCAATCTATCCTCTGCATGCATTACTTTTGTTTAACCCTTTTATCAATTTCCTACCTTGCCCTGCTGCATTTCTACTTTCTGGTTTGAAGTGACTCAGAAATAATCTATCTTCTCATTAGAGCCTCGTAAAAAGGGACTTTGCAACCTGCCAGCTATGTGATTTTTCCACCTCTGAAAGTGAACTTTGAAATGATATTAGCTCCTTTTTTTTTTTCTATAGCATTGCATGACTGGTCTAAATCCGACTTGCCGCCTGCATGTCTCTCTTCACGGCTCTTTTTCAAGTCGCCTGCGTGCTTTGAATATTTCTCTTCAAAGGGAGGGGCTGCTCTTTCCCTCCAGTTAAATCTCTCTATTATTTTCTACTCTCATAGCTATTGCTGCTAAGTTCCTCTGCATCTCTCTTCTCCTCGCTTTCCTGGAATTTGCAACCCTTTCTATTTGGAGTCAGCTAAGAGTTTCTTTTGTGTGAGGTCTTCTTTGCACTTTGGCCATGAATATAAGTGATACTATGACCAAAGGTAACAACTGTGCTTGCAGATTTCATTTGGTTATAGGGCTGTGCTTTTACATCTTCCTTAATTGTTATAATATGTTGATCAAGGATGACTCCTCTGCTATAGAATTCAGGGAAGTGAACTGGGATAGTGAAATGAGTACAGGCTTTGGATTCAACAGATCCTGGTTCAAGTCCTTGCTCTGCCGTTACCAGCCCAAGATTTTGTGTTAGTAAAATAAAGATACTGTAACAAATTATTATAAACAGGATGGCTTGAAAGAAATTTATTGTCTCGCAGATCTGGAGGGCAGGAGTCCCATTCCACATTTCTTGCCTAGCTTCTGGTAGTTGCCAGCAATCTGTGGCATTCCTCGCCTTGTAGCTGCAACACTTCAATCTCTGCCTCCATCTTCACAGGGCCATCTTCTCAGTGTGTCTCTGTGTCTCTCCTCTTCTTGAAAGGATAATAGTCATTGGATCTTAGACTCACTAAAATCCAGTATATCTTGAGATCCTTAATTACATCTGAAAAGACCTTATGTCCAAATCAGCTCACATTTACAGGAACTGGGATTTAGGACTTGGAGATATCGTTTGGAAGGATACTATTCAATGCGATATAGCCTTAGTCAAGTTATTTATTCTCTCTCACACTCAGTTTCCAGAATGGTTGTTGAGAGAAATAAATCATAAAATGTTTAGAAAGCCTCTAGCATCATGGCAGGCATATAGTAAGTGATCAATGAATATTAATTCCCTTTTCCAAAATTTCTATTACTCCTTTGGTAGGACTTTTTAGAAAACAAATACAATCTTGTTTTACAGAGTAGGACATTTTTAGAGATCTAGCGTTACATCACTATATGCAATTAGAAACCAGCTTCCCTCTAAATAATTCATCTGCAAGACAAAGATGAAAACTTTGATAAGAAAGGGGTCAGCCAGGTGTAGTGGCTCATGCCTGTAATACTCGCAATTTGGGAGGCTGAGGCGGGCTGATCACCTGAGGTCAGGAGCTCGAGACCAGCCTGGCCAACATGGTGAAACGTTGTCTCTACTAAAAATACAAAAAAATTAGCTAAGCGTGGTGCTGGGCACCTGTAATCCCAGCTACTCAGGAGGCTGAGTCAGGAGAATCTCTTGAACCAGGAAGGCGGAGGTTGCAGTGAGCTGAGATGGCACCATTGCACTCCAACCTGGGTGACAAGACTGAGACTCCATCTCAAAAAAAAAAAAAAAGGGGGTAGGGGGTCCACACAAAAACCAGACAGGCCTATTTTTTTCAGTCTATAAATATTTACTGAGCAACTACTAAGTACTAAACACTGACCAAAAGAGACCAGTGACCAGTCATCATGGAAAGATATAAAATCGACAATAACACAAAACTATGAAATATAATTTCAAGTAATAGTAAATAAAATAGAGACAAATGAAACAGGATGAAAAGATGGAGCACTTTGAATGGCAGGAGAAATGATGACCTTTGGGAAGGTAACATTTAAGGCAAGTTCTGGATAAAGTGAGGGGTCATCCCATGCAAGGGACTGGGGGACACACGTTCTAGACCAGCAATCCTCAACCATTTTGGCACCAGGGACTGGTTTCACAGAGGACAATTTTTCCACAGACTACGGGTGGGGCATACTTTCAGGATGATTCAAGGGCACTGTTTACCGTGTACTTTATTTTTATTAATATTACATTGTAATATATTATGAAACAATTATACAACTCACCATAATGTAGAATCAGTGGGAGCCCTGAACTCATTTTCCTGTAACTAGACAGTCCCGTCTGGAGGTGATGAGAGACAGTGACAGATCATCAAGCATTAGATTCTCAAAAGGAGCATGCAGTGCAGCCTAGATCCCTCAAGTGCACAGTTCACAATAGGGTTCGCACGCCTATGAGAATCTAATGCCACCACTGATCTGACGGGAGATAGTGCTCCAGCAGTAATGCAAGCGATGGGAGGTGCCTGTAAATACAGATGAAGCTTCACTCTCTCACCCTCCACTTACCTCCTGCCTAACAGGCCATGCAGCGGTATCAGGTGGGGACCCCTGTTCTAGAGAGAAGGAATCGCAAGTGCAAAGCAGGACAGTCAGGGTGTGTAAGGCAGTGGGGTATGGGGACGGGTTTGGAGGAAGGCAGGAGCTCAATCATGTAGAGCCTGGTTGGCCAGGGTTGGGATGGGGCCATCATAAATGCTGGATGGGATCCAGTGTGGCTGGCAGAGCACAGGGTTTGAGGGCAACAGCTACTGCTAGCTGTGATTCAGAAGGGCAGTCTGCAGTGTGAATTGAGACCACTGTGGCTGGTTCTCCAGACACTGGTACAGCTGTCTAGGATATGCAGAACTTTTGCCTCGTTTTCCAACTCTAGGTTCTCTCTACTGCCATTCTCTTTGTTCACTACCCAAACTGTCCTCCAACCACAGGAATGTCACCAGCTCTGGATGCTTGTTCTTGCTCTCTTTATTTTATTTTTGTTATCTGATAGAAGCAGACAGTAATACTCTGAGATACTTCTAGGAACCAGTATATGACAAGAGATGCATTTCACCCTGTCAGTTCCTCCAGCACAAATGACATGATAGTGCTTTTCTAAATAATTTTGCAATAATTCGAAATCCTGTTCCTCCAACACAAATGACATGACAGTGATTTTCTAAATAATTTTACAATAATTCCAAATCCTGTTAAATCAGTGCATACACTTCTGTGGATTTTACTGTCTATTCACCTGAAATTAAATTCTGGTGGGCTTTGCTGCACAGTTCACCTAGAAGAGGCACAATTAGATGCAATCTCATTCTAGTCTGACACTGCTGTGCTAAATACTTTCATTAAAAACTATTTTCTCAAAGAATAAAAGCAAGCATAAAAAATAAAACTAGGGGCCTTTCCATAAGAGAAAGAATAGAGATTGAGAGGAATGGGAGGAAGGGATACTGAGTGAAGAAAAGCTAAACAAAAGCATGGAAAGTCAAAGAAGCACACACATGTGTGAATAGCATCATCTAATTGTCCTATAATGAATTGTCCTATGTCAGAGCATGCCTGTCAAATTCTTCTAAACTTCTCTAGGCAGGCTTAGAAAGGTAATAATATTCTAGTTCTCATTATTGGGAAGTCACAATCAAGAGCAAGTGAATTGAATGTTAAAAGTATGAGTCTAGCTGATATTGATAGATCAAATGTAATACAACAGCATGTGACACTTATTAGCCTTTTGGTCAAGCTATTGGGCATGGAACACATTCAACATGCAGTAACATTTATTGAGCACCTACAGTATACAGTGCCATGGTTTGAGTAAGGGCTCTGTGGAATGGAAGACATATCCTCTGTCCTCCAGAAGTGTTCAATATCGATTCTGAGTCATTTCCTGTGGCCTTCACTTTTTCAGTTCTTCATATCTACTTTCTTGGAAGGTATTCTCAATTAAGGCCCAAAAGGCTGCACATAAATTTAATTAAGGCTGGAAGTGGTGCTAGACAGTGGAGGAGCAGTGAGCCTGAGCTGCAGCCAAAAGGAGGAATAATCCACTAACTCAGGAGAGCACCCTTTCTTCCCCAGCAAATGCCCAGTGCACTCTTTATTAAGGGACACTGTGCTGTGATGAGCTGACCTGGCCACAGGGTGTCACAACTGCCCCAGGGACTCCTCTACAAACTCAGGAGGGAGACAAGGTCTGAAAGGTCAGACACCAGCAGCTTGTCGTTCCCTCTCCTGCCCACATTGCCAAGTGAGTCAGCCCTGAGTCAGCCCAGCTGCTCAAAAATCATCTAGAATGTCACGGCTGCCAGGGCCTGACAGAATGCCTTCAGAGCTGCTTACCAGGCTCTGTGTGGCTCTTGGTCTAACGGAGGGGATCGACATTTTGGCAGTGCCCGTGAGTGAGATGAAGGACTGGTGACAGCCCCACACCCACGCAGCACCGGCTCCCTCATAGACCTCCAGTCATTCGACCAGGTTTGTTCCTGGAAGGATCTGCATCATTTATTTGGAGAAGGACCAGGCAGGGGGTCAAGAGACAATGATTTTAGTGTCGGCTCTGCCTCCTTCAAGTTGGGGACCTTCAGCCACTGAATCCACAGAGATGGGCCTCAGTTTCCCAATCTGTAAAATGAAGGTGGATCCTTTCAACTTCTGAACATTAATGAAGGATTGGCCATGTCTTATTTGGTTAGACATTTCAATTACTTTCTCTTTTTTTGGCTCTGACAGCCTCCAAGGTAGAAGAAATTAGCGTTTTTTTTTTTTTGTTTTTGTTTTTTTTTTTTTTTACAAACACAGAAACTGAGGGCCTGTGAGACTAAAAGAAGGTAATCAAAAGAGAATACAGAGGAGACATTTTAATCCAGATCTGTCCAGATTAATCCCACTGTAATTGGGGTGTTCATTTACAAACTACACACAAATGTTTTGTGACTCCTGGGAACTGAGTTTCAGACATGATGAGATGAAAGACACAGAGAATATATTTGAATAAGTCTCATAAAAAGTAAATTCTGGATCTTTGGGATAGAAGCTAAGGGATATTTGTGAATCAAATGGTAGTAGCAAAATGGGTCAAGAATGGCAGGTAAAGGATAAACAGAAGAGAAACACATTTTAATAATACTCAACCAATATTTATTAAGTTTCTCCCCTGAAAAAGTTATTGTTCAGGGCAGCAAAAGACATGCAACCCTAGAGGCAGCTGAGAATCCAGCCATGCCAATATCCGAATGCAAATAAAAGCAAGAAAAAGCCAGGAAAAAGACAAGCAAAGTACTGCAGGATTCAATCAAGAATCGAATGAAGAAGCTGTATCCCATTGGTGGAACTTGGAAGGCACCAAGGAGAAAGTTTCAATTGAGTCATAAAGAATAGTAGAGTATCAACAGGTAATAACACAAAGGATGAGCTAGCTGGAAGAAAGAGATGCATGAACAGAAGTCAGGAAAAAAAGGGTTGCATTTGATTGTGGAAGACAGTGTAGCAATTCCTCAAAGTCCTAAAGACAGAAATACCGTTCGACCCAGCAATCCCATTACTGAGTATATACCCAAAGGAATATAAATCATTCTATCATATAGACACATGCATACGTGTGTTCATTGCAGCACTATTCACAATAGCAAAGACATGGAATCCACCTAAATGCCCATCAACGATAAACTGGATAAAGAAAATGTGGTATATATACACCATGGAATACCATGCAGCTGTGAAAAAGAACGAGACCATGTCCTTTGCAGGAACATGGATGGAGCTGGAGGTCATTATCCCTAGCAAACTAATGCGGTAACAGAGAACCAAACACAGCACGTTCTCACTTTAAGTAAGTGGGAGCTAAATAGTGAGAGCACATGAGAGGAACAGCACACACTGGGGCTTTTTGGAGGCTGCAAGGTGGGAGGAGGGAGAGGAGCAAGAAAAATAACTAATGGGTACTAGGCTTAATAGCTGGGTGACAAATAATCTGTACAACAAACCTTCATGACACAAGTTTACCTATGTAACAAACCTGCATGCATACCCCTGAACTTAAAACTTGTTTTTTTTTAAGAAAAGAAAGGGTTACATTTGGAGAACAGTGAAGACTATTCTGTTGAAGTGTGTAGGGGACATAGGATTGGAAAAGTTCCTCTGAAATCATATTGTGGAGAGCCTTCCTAAAAGACAATTTTGAGATTGGTGGACAATGGAGAACCAATACAAGAGTAATATACTTTTCTTTTTTTTTTTTTTTTTTTGAGACAAAGTCTTACTCTGTCCCCCAGGTTGGAGTGCAGTGGCACAATCTTGGCTCACTGCAACCTCTGCCTCCCAGGTTCAAGCAATTCTCCTGCCTCAGCCTCCAGTGTAGCTGGGACTACAGGTGCCTGCCACAACGACCAGCTAATTTTTTTTTTTTTTAGATGGAGTTTTGCTCTTGTTGCCCAGGCTGGAATGCAATGGCGCAATCTTGGCTCACCGCAACCTCCGCCTCCTGGGTTCAAGTGATTCTCCTGCCTCAGCCTCCTGAGTAGCTGGGATTACAGGCATGCGCCACCACCCCCAGCTAATTTTGTATTTTTAGTAGAGACAGGGTTTCTCCATGTTGGTCAGGCTAGTCTCGAACTCCCGACCTCAGGTGATTCGCCCACCTCAGCCTCCCAAAGTGCTGGGATTGCAGGTGTGAGCCACTGTGCCCTGCCTGATATAATTTTTATAAAGAAGTTTTTGCCTATTGTCTGGGCATGGATGCTGGAACAGGAGATGGGATGCCAGAGGAGAGGTTAGTAAAACAGTCCTTAAAATAATCTGGTGGCAGAGGTGAGAATGAGGAGGTGTTAGAGATACCAAGGTACAAATGTGAAGACTTGGCCTCTGATTAAACACAGGTTCTGGAGTATTAGAGACAGGGCAAACAGATGGTGGAGTTTTTAAGCCTCAGTGGGAAAACGAAGGTGCTGTTAGGATAAGCAGAAATATCATAATGAGTGGCAAATTCCAAAAAGCTTACAAGAGGAAATACATAAAGAGAAAAGAAGTATACAAATGGAACATTGGGAAGAATTTATGTAATGCAGTGAAAGAAAGAAAGTAAAGCTAATGAAAAAGAGAAACCAGCAACCAGGGTATACAGTTAGGAAGGAAGAGAGAGTTCCTTGAAGAAAGCAGCAGGGTCAGTAGTGGCAGGGACCTCAGGGGTTGAGAAGGATTGAGACAAAGCCTTTGGAAATGCTGTGATGAGTGCTGTTTTCACATCTTTGCCATTTTCTCTGAACATAGAGAAATTCTGTCTGTGCCTGTGTATTTGTAGCCTCCAACACAGCGTCCTGCCCATCAAAGGCGCTCAATGAATATTTCCTGAATGGAGAAAGGAAAACACAGACACGGGGCTGTTTAGGAGAGCTGTAGGCATGGAAACAAAGGTGTTAAGAGGGAGTGCCTTCTGAGTCTTGCAGGTGTCCTCTGTCTTTCCAAATAGTTCTGGGGAGAAGGCAGTTCTGGGCTAGTGCAGTCCTTCCAGACCTTGAGCATGCATCAAAATCACCTGTGGGTTTGTTACATAGCTTGCTGGGCCCCACCCCTAGAGTTTTCGATTTGTAATAATAGGTCTGAAGTGAAGCCCCCGCATTTCCATTCAAACAGGTTCTTGGATGGTGCGGAGGCCACAGGTTCAGTGATCATGCTTTGAGAACCCCTAGGCATGTGAAAATATCCCTGTATATTCAGTTAGGAGACATAGTTTGAGTCCCAACTCCTTATTGGCTCTTTGCCTTGAGGTATTTCTCTCTGCCTATTTTCTCATATGCAAGATGAGGGTCTTACCTAGAACATAGCACTGATAGGCGCGTTGAATGAAATCTCAGTACTTGTCTAAAACATGTTTATTGAACTAATTTTTTTTCTTTAAAAAAATTTTTGGCTGGGCGCAGTGGCTCATGCCTGTAATCCCAGCCCTTTGGGAGGCCGAGGTGGGTGGATCAGGAGGCAAGGAGATCGAGACCACCCTGGCTAACATGGTGAAACCCCACCTCTACTAAAAATACAAAAAATTAGCCAGGCGTGGTGGTGGGCGCCTGTAGTCCCAGCTACTTGGGAGGCTGAGGCAGGAGAATGGCATGAACCCGGGAGGCGGAGCTTGCAGTGAGCAGAGATTGCACCACTGAACTCCAGCCTGGGAGACAGTGAGACTCCATCTCAAAAAAAAAAGTTTTTTGTTTGAAATTTGATTTATTTTTAAATGTCTTCAGCTTTACCGAGGTACAATTGACAAATAAAATGTATACAGTATATTAAAGGTGTACAACAAGATGTTTGATATACATTGGGAAAGAGTCATCACAATCAAGCTAATTAATATGTCAGTCACCTTACATCGTTAACTTTTTTGTGTATCTGATGAGAACACTTAAGATCTGGTCTCAGCAAATTTCGAGTATACCATAGCTTCTTATTAGCTATGGTCACCATGCTGTACATTAGGTCTCCAGAATTTACTCATTTTATAGCTGTAACATTTACAGCTGACTAACATCTTCCCATTTTCTCCACCCTCCAGCTCCTGGTAACCACCATTCTACTTGGTTTCTATGAGTTCAACTTTTTTACATTCCAATAAACATTTTTAAGAAGATAAAGATTGGTTGGAGCTTGAGAAAGTAACAGGAAGGAAAAAAATGTGTTTATTTTGCTTATTTAAGAAATGCCAAGATGCATGGCAAATTCATGTTTGCTGGGCAAAAGATTTACTCTGAATTAATGGATCTCTGTGGAATAGCAGTTAATTTTAGAGCTGGCATGAGTCTTATGATTATCTGCATATCGGTCAGTCAGTTTGTCTGTGTGAACAGGACATACGAAGCCTAAAGGCAAGCTTTATCATCTTGCTTATACAAAGTTAACTATAGCACTCAAACCCCACACATTCAGAATAAGAATAAAATAACGCACCCTTTGAATCATACATAGGTATGTAATTTGCTTCCAATAAAAATGGAGATGAGGTTGCAGCTAGATAACCATCAGCTTCGTCCAAGGTACAAAGGTTTAATTTTTTATGTTTGCATTTAGTCATTTTTATAGTACTGGCTTCTTGGCTCATTTCTGAATAAATCTAGGCAGCATTGAAACAAATGCCAAAGAAACAGGAAAAAAAACCCTCTCAGAATTTCCCGTTCATATTTATAGTGAGTTGACAGATATTGCATTTCCTTTATTTCAGGCCCTAATCAATTCATTGCTAAAAGGAAAAAAAGAGAAAGAAGAAAACAGATGAAGAGGAACAATTTGTATGGGGCTTCTGGTCATTACCCTTCTGTTATAACTCTCCTTAGTAGAACTAATTAGCATTACATTAATAAATATAAGAATAGAGGATATGGCAGCCAAAGCAGATGCTTATTGCAATTGCAGATACATTGCTGCCATTTGCTTGTTAAATTCAGCATCTTTAATTCTGCAATGTGGTGCTTTGAAGAGGATGAAAATTTCTCCTTATATGAATCTTCCTTCTATGTGGTCAGGATGCAAGTCATAGGGTGAGGCAAAGTGGCCATGTCTGTCCAACTTCCTTTGTGTACAAGGTTAATGACTGTGTTTTGTGTCTATCCCTCAGGCATTATGAATCCAGATCCTTCACATTCTAATCTTGCTCGCCTCTTGGCTGTTGGTGAGATGGTGGCCCCAACACTGACAAAAAGAACCAGCCTGTTCCATGATAGTTTCTGTGGAACTCAGCGTTGGTCACTTGTGTCACTGTACCAACAGGGACACCTGAATGGCTCTGTCATTAATAATGGAATGGAGAGCCAGAGTGCAAAACAGACTCCATAGGCTGACTCCCACACTTACGGGAGGGCAATTAAGGGCAATAAGTGCTAAGATGCAAGAGTGCTGTGCTTCTCAAAACATTAATCTTATGCAAAGAATCACCTGGGCATTGTGTTAAAAAGCAGATTGTGGCTCCACAAGCTCTCACGGATGCAGGTGCTGCTGGTCCATGAGCCACTCTTTGAGTTGTCTTAATTCCTTTCCCTTCTCTCACCTGAGCCAGAGGTGCATTTCAGCTTCTTCAATTTAACCTTCTGTCTTCTGTGACAAGAACAAAGTGAGCTCTGCTCAGATAGCTCGAGAGGACAACATAGCTATTTTTTTCCAAAGTCACAAATAAGTAAATAAATAATAGGTAAATTAGCAGGATTGCTAAAAGCCCCTTAATTTTTCCTTTCAAAATGTAGAGGTAAGTAAAAGCAAATGAACCAGATTCTTGGATCTGTTCAAACCCGGAGAGCGCACCAACAGATAACATGAGGAGGTGTGGAGCAACGTGCTATTTTAACGAGCGCCTGAGTGCAGGTGGGCTGAGGCCTAAAATGGCGTCAGCCTAGGTGAGGACAGGACAGAGGTTTTATAGCCTCCTGGAAACAGGAAGTGTCCTAGTCTGACATAACTGCTACTTGGTACCTGGAAGGCCTCTTTCTCCATCTTCAGGGGTGTCTGCCAGCCAGGGTAGGTGTCTTCCGTCCGGCTCTCTTCCTGCTTCTGCTATCTTGCTGACACACGCTGGTGACACAAGTGGCCTTGGGCCTTGGGACCAGGCCTGAGAAGGGAGGAGTTATTCATCTCCTTAAGCTTTCAAGTCCCTGGGAGAATCTTACAGTTTCCTCTTGTCACAGCTTCCTTAGGAGGAAGTAGGGGGAGACGTAGGTTTGGGGAGAAAAAAAAGTCATATTCATTGAGCACTCTTTGTGCTATGCTTAACAAACATTTCAATTTTTAATCTTAGCAACAGTCTTAAGGGGTCAGTAACAGCATAAGTCAAAGATAAAGGAACTCAGAGGGGCTGAGAGAGATTCAGAGAGATTGTGTGACTTGCCAAGAGTCAAGTTTACTGGGAAGACCTAAAGCCCATATTCCTTTATTTCTAAAATACATGTTTCTGACTTACTAATTCTTTGAGACCTGTAGTTTGAGTTGAGGCCTGCTGGCATCTTTTATTTATCTCTTGCATCCTTTCTCATGAGATGTATGGGGCAGCCTGCTAATGGAACCTCCTGGAAGGATGAACACACTCCCTGATGGGAGGTGTGGTTCATGGGAGTTCCCAGGGAGATGCAGAAGAAGGCTGTTTAGGGTAGCTAGAGGGCCCAGTGGGTTCTCATAGCCAACCCCAGGTCCTGAATCTGTTCCTATCTGAATGGAGCCTAGAGCCTCTTTCTACTGCCTCTGCCTCCATCCCCTTTTGTTGATGGTTTCTTCCCTCTGTTCTCATTGGGTTCCCTGCTTCGTACTAGTTTTAAAAGTTAATTAGGTCGGCCAGGTGCTGTGGCTCACACCTGTAATCCCAGCACTTTGAGAGGCCCGAGGCAGAAGGATCTCTTGAAACCAAGAGTTTGAGAGCAGTCTGCGCAAGCCTAGGGAGACCCTATTTCCACAATTTTTTTTTTTTTTAAAGTTAACCAGGAGTTTGAGGGCAGTCTGCGCAAGCCTAGGGAGACCCTGTCTCCACAATTTTTTTTTTTAAAGTTAACCAGGTGTGGTGGCTCACATTTGTAGTCCCAGCTACTTGGAAGGCTGAGGGAGGAGGATCACTTGAGCCCAGGAGTTCCAGGCTGCAGTGAGTTATGATCATGCCACTGCACTCCAGCCAGGGTGGCAGCGCAAGACCCTGTCTTTCTCTTTAAAAAAAAAAAAAAAAAAGGCTGGCCAGGTGCAGTGGCTTATGCCTGTAATCCAGCACTGTGGGAGACTGAGGCAGGGAAATCGCTTGAACCCAGGAGGCGGAGGTTGCGGTGAGCCGAGATTTCACCATTGCACTCCAGCCTGGGCAACAAGAGCGAAACTCTGTCTCAACAACAAAAAAATGTTAATCATGTCCATTTGAATTACGTAGTTGCAACTCATGAGAAAGGAGGGGAGTTTTGTAGACCACTCTACTATTCAGGTTGTTCAGACCTTGCTTCTGGATGTCTCATCAAGATTCTCAGATTCTCTCACTTCCAACCTTACTACCATGACAATAACTAAATCTCATCATGTTTTTTTTTTTTTTTCTTTTTCACAAAGGCTTCCTTCTCTGTGAGCTCAAACTAACCCATGTAATTTTTAGGTGGTGTTGCCTATAAGTAAGGGCTTCTGAGCAGGTGTATTCATTGCCACTGCTCTTAAGATGCATGTGTAGTGTTAGGGATTTCTTCTGCCAGCGTAGTTTTGTTTTTGCAGTTAATTTGTAAAAAAGGTTTTGCTAATACTACTGCCTTTTTTGTTTCTTACCTTTCTTGTCATTATGGATAATTTTTGCTTCAAACTAACCATACTTGATTCACTTGCATAGTTCAATTATTAACCAAAAAGCCTACAAAAACACAAAAGCAATATTTGAAGACAAAATGGATGAGAACTTTGTAGACTTGATGAACATTGTGAAATGTAACATTAGGTAGACATAAGCCATTCTTTATATGATAAATAAAAATAAATCTACACTTAGACAAGTAGTAAGAATTCAGAACAATAAAGACAAAGAAAGTATCTTGAAAGCAACTACAGAGAAAACATAGATTATCTGACTACCATTTAATACTTACAAAAAAGTGGTGCAGCTCTGAAAAAAAATGCTGTGTTGTGTGATAATGAATGGATAGAACTTAGGTGAATGTTAGCTTTTATGGTTTCTTGCACACACGTTAATTATTACCTATATCATTAAGACATATCAGATTAGTTTTGCTGTGTTTGGTTGCACCATGAATTTTTTTTATGTAATATGGTCACCTGCTGCTAAGTTAAAAAAATCTCTATCAACAGGACCTGTTTATGAAATGATATATATACTGTAACATTTGACATCATGGATCATCTTTTATGTACTTTGTTTACTGGGAAGTACTTAGAATGCTACATATATAGTGAACTCTCAGTAAATAAATACTGCTGAAAGAATATTAGAATCTTTGCTCCTTAGCAGAATTTTTATTTTAAATTTTGATGGTTCTTTATATAGGTGTTTTCTAAGTGGAATGAATTAATCCCAAGGGAGTAAAAAAGATCATTCTCTGAAATATTTGGAAAAAAATGTTAGAACTTCTGTCTTATATTTCAAACATATTTTAGGGGATGTTTCATACTATATGCTATCTTTGTACTGTATTATACACAGTAATATGTATAAATACAATATTTTATGTGTGTGTATATATATATAATGTATATATATATAATGTATGTATATATATATAATGTATATATATATAATGTATATATATATATAATGTATATATATAATGTATATATATATATATAATGTATATATATATAACTTTATAAATAATCCACCACACATAAAGTGAGGTGAATGCTCAAATGCTAATAGGCATGCACAATCAAAAGTGTTTGGAATGCAAATCAATATCAGTAGGAGATACCACTTCACACCCATTAAAATGGCTGAAATAAAAAGACAGAAAATAGCTAGTATTGGCAAGGACGTGGGGAAATTGGAGCCCTCATACTCTGATGGCGAGAATGTAACGTGGTGAAATCACTTTGGAAAACAGTGTGGCAATTCTTTAAATTGTTGAAAATAGAGTTACTATATGACCCAACTCTTCCATGGCTGGGTGTATATGCAAGAGAAGTGAAAACATATGTCCACACAAGAATTTGTATGTAGGTATTTATAGCAGCGCTATTTATAACAGCCAACAAGTAGAAACAACCCCAAAGCCGGATAACTGATGAAAGAATAAACACAATGTGGTATTTCCATAGGGTGGATTTGATGGAAAGGAATGAAGTACTGGTACATGCCACGACATGGATGAAGCTTAAAAACATTGCGCTAAGTGAAAGAAGCCCATCATGAAATACCACATAAAGCACAATTCTATTTATAGGAAATGCTCAGAACAGGAAAATCTATATAGAGAGAAAGTGGATTACTGGTTGCCTGGAGCTAGGGAAATGGAAAATGGGAAGTGTCTGCTAATGGATGTGGAGTTTCTTTTTGAGGTGATGAAAATTTTCTAAAATTAGATAGTGGTGAGGCCTGTACAACTCTGTGAATATCCTAAACAAACTTGTATACTCTAAGAGGGTGAATTTTATAATATGTAAATTATTTTTCAATAAAACCATCATAAAAAAGAAAAATGTGCCAGGAAACCACTACTTTAGATAAATTCACACAAACTTGATGAAGCTAATATAACTGAAAAGACTCTGGCAATAAAAATGTTCCGTTTCATTTGCATTATGTTGCCGCATTTGTTTTATCTCTCTTTAAATAGCATAATCTCTAAAAGACATTTTTTTTCTTTAAATTATCTCTATAAGCATTGACTTAACAAGAGATGGCATGTTTCATTTTGTGTACCCTCATGGTGTCTAAAGGGAACGCCACTAGATGTATATTGAAAAATGAGGACATTCTGCATAAACAAAACTGATAAAATTGTTTTATGAATTAGGAGAAAAGTAATTTTTATCAGATTTGTAATGATATATTCTCATTTAAGAGGCTGTGGAGAAGAGAAAAGAATGAGTGCTTCCTTCATATTTTCTTCTTTTAAGACTAAAAGAACTAGAGTTTACCCATAATTTCTTGTCTTGCCCTATTTTGGGTGGCAGGGGATATAATCATTTCTTCTTTCTCCTCCTCCTCCCCCTCCCCCTCCTCCTCCTCCTCCTTCCCCTCCCCCTCCCCCTCCCCTCCTCCTCCTCCTCCTCCTCCTCCTCCTCCTCCTCCTACTCCTCTTACTCCTCCTCCTCCTTCTCTTGCCCCTCCTCTTATTCCTCTTCCTCCTCATTGCTGTGTAATTATCAAGGGCAAAGTACTGTTGCCCTGAACTGCGATTCAGGTTGCTGTGGAGGTAACTTAGAGGAACAACTCACTGTTTTGGCTCTCTGTTTTGAAGGCTAATGTAACAGACTCAGCTCAACAAGTGATATTCCTGCCAGGCTGGACGTTTAAGGATCCTGATGTATTTGAGAGTTGTCTTGTGTTCTTACTCAAGGAAAAGTAGGTGTGCTGGGTCTAGCAGTAAATACAGCTTTTGTGGGGCCTTCATCTAATAACATTCGGGAGTTCCTCTATAAGAAAAAGATTACATATTACAAATATAAAAATAGTTACAAAAGTGAATATTTAGAGTGACAAAAGATATCACCCATCACATAGGTCAACATGCTGCCACATTCCAACATGAGATTAAAAAACATAATTTATTTCAAGCATTGTGTCTCATTCCTCTCTCCTCTCAGTGCCAACTGCCAAAGGAGTTATCAATAGAACTCCTGGCCCTAACTTTTGTGTCCCAACATTGGGTGAGTCAGCACAGTTGGAGATAGGAGAGTTATTAGAAGCTCTAATGGTGGGATGGTAGCCATGATTTAATGACACATTGGATTCACTATGAACCATATAAGTGGGTACCACTCACCATGAACTAAATAGATCCCTAAATCATCTCCTCCTCAGTGTGATGATCAAAATGTCCAGGAACACTGCTTTACCATACCACATGAGGGGAAATATGATGGAGGGGACTGGAAAAGTGGCAGTATCGGAGAGGGGAGACAGCACAGTGTTAATTCATTGCTGCTAAAATACCCACTTCTACAAATTTTATAACAGTAGGGCCCTGGAAGGAGCCTGTTAGCAAGGGCCCATGAAACCTCACCTTCTTTAGTTTCTTAATAAATATATCTCCACTGATGCTCTGTTTCAGAGACATTTTATAGATGTCTAGTCAAAGAAGTCCATTTTCACCGTTTCATCTGGACAATTTTACAGGAGTAATGATTTCAGGACATTTTGAAACATTCCGATTTAAAACATACAGAGAAGACAGGAGAGGAGAAGAGGGGACATGAGAAAAGTATTATTTAATTCATCAAGATAGTTTTTTTTTTTTCTGGAACATCTCCTACATTTAAAAAAAATTCCTATTAGGAAGACACAGAGTAAAACTTTTTCCCTTATGAAATACATTTTAAAACAAATTCATCACATCCTCACTGTAAGGAGATTATTAGATTACTGAATCACTGTGAGTCAGAAATTTTTAATCTTATCATATTGGCTTACAGCTTTGCATGGAACCACCAGTCATATATATATATATATATATATATATATATATATATATATATATATATATATATATACACATACATACAGAAAGGCAAGAGAAGATTACCTTCTTTAATACATTTAACTGAAACACTGTGACATCACCTATGATGACTCATAGGCACAATTCAATTGTTTCATCCATTCATTACATATTTATCAGTGCCAATTATATATAGGGCTCTTGCTGGACTTAAGGTGGATTTAGAGATTTATAAGAACAGATCTCATCTTCAAGGAGTTCAGATTTCTTTTTAGGCACAACCAGGTATGTATACAAGTAACTATCATAGAAATGCTGGGTGACAAGCAGACATAAAGAACTGTGAAAATTCTGAAGTATGGGAGCACCATCCAATCATTTATTCGATGACAGAGGATGGACAAAATATATTTGGTACCTGCCCTCATAGAGTTTGTAATCTAGTGAGGAAGATGCACATTACACAACACAGGACATACACAAATATGTAACCTATAAATTGTGATGTGTTAAGAAAAAATAGATGTAAGAGGCAATGAAACAGAGTCCTGATGAAGAGTGGAGGGTCATGAAAAGTGTGAGAATGTGGCATGTCAGGGAGAGCTAAGTGCTGAGGAGGAATGACCTGGGTGAAGGAGGATAACGTGGATTGTTTCAGGCATAGAGAAACACAAATGAGAAAGGCACTAAGGAAGAAGATAGCTTGATGAGCTTGAAGAACAGATGAAGGTGAATGAGGCCGGGTTATAGTGAGTGAGGGTGGCAGAAGATAGTTCAGAGAGGAGGAAAAGAAGCTAAAGTGTCAAGGAACTTAAAGGCGTGTTAATGATTCTGTGCTATGGGAATTCTTTGGAGCTACAAAAATATTATGTACAATATAAAGTATGGATTGGAAGCAGAAAGCAGTACTAGCAAAGGCTATTGGGGTCATCCCAGGGAAAGATGGTGGCTTGGAGTAGGACAAAAGCAATGAGGGTGGCAGGGGTGGTGGTGGTAAGAAGCACTCAGATTTTGCAGGTAGAATCAACAAGACTTGATTATGGATTAAACAGGGAGAATGAAAGAGAAGGAACACACCAGACTGTTTGCTTTTATATTGTCATCTGAACTTTGTCATGAGACTGTAAGTTCTTTGAGGCAGTGGACATGCTTTCTGCCTGATCTGTGCTCTTTATAGCATCAAAGAGGGAGATGGTGTTTGGAAAATATTAATTTGCAATTTGTTTTCCCAGGTAGAAAATCTAGTTTCTCTATCCTTCTGCCCCTCAGGGCTCTCATGTTTTTTCCATCCCTGTGTATTTGCTTCCTGATAGGACCTCAGAGGAAGAACAGGAAAAAAAATCCTTTATACTTCATACTTCGGGACTACTTCTCATCTTCTTTCAACTTGGCACAGGCTAGAGACCCAGAACTGCTCCTGCCCTTTTGAAAAAAATCCTACAATGGTGGCCATCTTAAAGGTGCTATTCAAGATAGTAGCAGTTGGTAGCCCAGTCAAGTTAAAG
The DNA here is from genome assembly GCF_000001405.40 of Homo sapiens. NCBI lineage: Eukaryota > Metazoa > Chordata > Mammalia > Primates > Hominidae > Homo > Homo sapiens. The sequence continues at coordinate 86,638,213 of NC_000015.10, forward strand.
AAATATTGCAATACAACAGTTGGTATCATTGTGTTTTGTGTAGTGACCAGATGGATGTGCCTTTAAAATGTCTTCATATGCCTTTTGAAATTTTCTATGAATACTTCAATGACAATGGTGTGGGATCTGGCTCTTTGTAATGATCTTCCAAGGAAGCGATGTGCTGCATTTTCACTTGCATCTGTATCACCTGGTCCATTTCAAGACCATGGGTGCCGCGTTCAGGCTGCCATCATATTATCACTCTATCTTGTGGGGAAGCAGGTGTGGGTAGTGAGTGTTGAGGACCAAGCAGTTGCTCTGGTGGGGTCTTTGGACTTGGTGGATGGCCACAGCTGAGGCAGCATTCTCCTTTATCTCCAAGACTCCTGTCAGCCCCACACTTTGTTCTTCACATGCAGCTTCAGTGTCTAAGTAATCCGAATAGAGAGCTTGCCTTAAGAGGAGGCCAGGAGGACTTAGTGGGGAGATGAGGAACTTCTGAGAGAAAGAGGAAAATGAAAGAAGAGGTAAACATAGGACTGTATTAGTCTGCAATTGCTGAGTAACAAATCACTGCAAAACTCAGAGGCATAAAACACCATACATATTATCTCATAGTTTCTGTGGGTCTGAGTCTGAGTGTGGCTCAGTTGGGCCTCTGCTTTCAGGACCTTTCACAGGCTACCATCCATGTGTCAGCTCATCGTAGTTATTTCAGGTTTCAACTTGGTAGCAATCCACTTCCGAGTTCTCTCCGTGCTGGTAGACGGGATTCAGTTTCTTACTATCTGTCGGCTGGAGGCCACTCTGTTCCTTGCCAGGTGGGCCTTTTGCTTCATTGATGCTGCAGCTCACTTCATCCATCTAGGCAAGCGAGAAGGCAATAGAGTATGAGCAAGGTGGAAGTCAGTCTTCTGCTACTTAACCATAGAATTGACATCTCGCCACCTTTACTGTATTCTATTGGTTAGAAGCCAGTCACTAGTTCCAGTCCACACTCAAGAAGAGGCTGTTACACAGAGGCACAAATACAGGAGATAGAGATCACTGAGGGTCATCTTGGAAGTCTGCCTACCACAATGACCTTGCACTAGATCTACTTGCAAATATTAAAACTGTTGTGGTACAGTGAAGGAAGAGCAGGAGTTTCTTTGGTAAGTACCTTCACTTCTACATGGAAGCAACTCCAAAGTGTTACTCTGGTATAACTCTGATCCAGGATTAGATTAATGTGGTGGCCAAAGAAAGAGTCTGGTGGCTAAATGTGATTTCAGTGGACTCAAATTATTTACTACTGTTTCTTAAAAATACTATGGGGGCCATGCATCTTCTGTGCCACACCTCCTCTGAATTCCAGTTTTTCCCTCCCATCTACTTAACTCATAAACTACACTTGGGTTGCTCCGAAATTGCTCTCTTCCTACCTCCCCCATACAGCTTCCCGGGTCTCTTGTCCTTTCTTCCATCTCTAGATGACAAATGTCCACTGACAAAGTCTGGCTGCAGCACAGAAATGGTCTGGCAACTGCTGATCCCTCTTTGGGGAGTGGAGGAGAGCAATGACCTGAGCAGGAAAAGCAAGTTCTCCTTAGCAGGCAAGGAAGGAGGAAAGCCGGGAAACCCATGTATATTAATATTTTCAGCCTCATCACATTACGTTTTCTGGGTGCAGGTTTTTATCTCTATAACCAGGCTGCAAACTCCTTGAAAGCTTGTCCTTATCTTCTGCTTTCTTGTATTTCCCAACAGCATATGTGGGACCGAGGTTTGCTGAATGGATGGTGTGTGTACTGGGCTGTGACATTTTTTCCAGTGGACTGGTGTGATTGAAAGAGATAATGTGTCTGAAAGTGCAATGTAAATTGTAATACTCTATATACATGTCATAGTTATTATTGTTACTATCAGCACCATCATCATCATCCTCTAGCACATCTTTTATGCACCATCTGCAAAAATAGGCTTTTTCCTAGATGAATGCTCCACCTAGACCACCAGGATTTAAGCTCAACAAAATAGACAAATTCCTTCCAAAGATATATTTATGTGTCATTCCTATGTTTATAAAGTCCAGAATTATAATAGAGTGGGAATATCACATATTATGGCATGAGTGTTTCTAAATGTTACTTACACTTTCTGATTGGAAGAGCAATCAGATATCTTTTATAAAATTTAGAAATAGAAATGAGATAATAGAAGAAACCATTGTTAATATTTTACCACATTTCTGTCCATCCTTGTGTGTATTAATATATAATACATGCATACATAGATTTGTGTATAGGTAGTTATGGGTATAAAGATTTATGTGTTGCTGTGTTTATAGTCTCATGAGCAATTTCCTATGTCATTAAATACATTTAAAACTATTATTTTGTTGGTAAAATAATATTCCACTCAAATATATGTAATAACAAGTTTAACCATTTCTCTACTTTTTGGAGATCTAAGATTCTGTCTCTTTCCTAATATGAATAAGATTTCAATTAAGATTTGGTAATAAGTCATTGTCTACAGCCCTAGTTACTTCCTTAGGAATTAAGAGTTTAATTAGTAGGTCAATGGTATGACCTTTTAAAATATATTTATAAATCTGGCAAGGCATTTTTCTGAAAATAATTAGCCAGTTTACATCCTTCCAAGAGTCTAGAAGATTGCCTCTCTTATCCCACCCTCAGTGACAATGAATAATATTAATTTAAAATTTCTGATTATTTGATACAAAAATATTCACACTTAGTTTTGTTTTTATTTTTTAATTACTGAGGTTGATTTTTTTTTTTATGTGCCTTTTGGCCATTTGCATTTATTCTTCTGTGAATGGCTTAGTTACCTCTTTTGAACTCTTGACTTTGAATGAGTCCTAATGTTTTCCTTCTTAATTGATAAAAGATCTTTAATAGCTTATTTTCACCTTTAGGCTATCGTACTACAATTATTTCTTTGCAGTTGTTTGCCTTCAAGATTTTGTATATGATGTTTTTGACATGTAAATATATTAATTTCTTAAGTAATATTTATTCAGGCTAGTGTACTATATTGAACTATTTTCCAAAAATTATTGTGATCACTTATTTTTATTGTAAAATATTTTGTGCACAAATGAATGTATAAAATACACAAAACAATATACAAATAACGTATAGAATATATGTGCGCTGTTTAAAGAATATTGGATAAAATGAAAGCTCTAGTTTCTACCACTCAATTTTTTTTAAAAAAAAAAGCAGTGCCGGTAGTTACCTGGCAGCCCCCATGAGAACTCCCTAGTCACACAATTCTCCTTTATTTCCCCAAGTTAACCACTCTCCTGACTTTTGTGAGAATCATTTTTCTCCTGAATTTGTGAATTGTATATATTTAATATTTAATCAATATATTGTTTGGTTTTAGTTTTTCTTGTCTTTGGACTTTATATAAATGCAACCACAGTGTGTATATTTTTGTATCATTTCATGCCTGTAATCCTAGCATTTTGGGAGGCTGAGGCAGGAGGAGTGCTTGAAGCCAAGAGTTTGAAACTAGCTTGGGCAACATAGTGAGACTCCGTTTCTGAATTTCAAAAAAAGACCTAAAAAAACCCCACAGCTTTTATCAGTCAACTATTTTTGCAGCAATGCTGTGTAGCAAACTACTCTGTAACTCAGTAACCTAAACAACAAGCATTCATTTTCAGGCTCATGGATGTGCTTGGTCAGTTGTGCTTTAGGCTAGGGCTTGGGTGGGCAGGTCTACTTCAGACTGTGAAAGGACTTCAAGCCTGCTCCATATGTCTTTTCTTATTATGTGATTGCTACCTTGAACTTGTTCTCATGGTAATGAGAAAAGTGTAAGAGTAGACTAGTCATACTTATAAGCACATTTGATCACTGCTTGCATCATGTCCACAAATAATCTTTTGGCCAAAGCAAATCACACAAGCTCAACCTCAATGAAACAGGGAAATATATTTGGATTTCTAGTGGTGACTGTAAAGTCATATGGAAACAGGAATGCATGTAAGCTATATAAAACTATAATCAGAAGGGTTGAAGAATTTGGAACAATAAAGAGATCTGCCATGCATTTTAGCCTTCCTAAAGTGAAATATATCTTTTACTCAATAGCTAAATTTATTGTCATGCATCTCATTCCCTGTCTTTTTCTTTTTATGGTTAATAGTTTAGAGTTAATAGTTTATGGCTTTACAATTAAGTGTTTAAGAATTGACGAGACATGGTAATTAACAGATATTACATTATCATTTTTTTTCTTCCAGCGTTTCACTATAGCAAGATATTGGCTGTTAGTTTACAGTGAATTCTTTTAAAAAAAATTGTGTTAAAGAGTATTCATATTTCTAATTTAATAAGAATTTTAAACAACATGCAACTTTTGTCTTCTGAAATTATAGGGATAATATTTTCTAAAATTTTTACTTATTAAATAATATTTAATGTTACTGAAATTAAACCACTTTTACAATCTGAGTATAAACACTATTTATTGATGGTGAATTATTCCTTACATCCTTTTGATTCTATTTGCTTGGTTTTTATTTAAGATTTCACATCTATGTTCGCAATTTCATTTTATTTTCTTAAGTTTTATAATTAGTGTTGTGCTACCTTTACCAAGAGCACTGGGTAGCTACCATCTTTTTCTGTGCTTTAGGAGGACTATTTTATTTTATTTTAATATTACACATACTAGAAAAACTAACTCATACTGTTAAAATAAATAAATGTGTTTATGCACTAATATACCAGGATGGTAAATAGGTAGAGCGAGTTTGGGGTTTTGAGATTGCTTTAAATCAATGATTATATGACATCAATGACTTGGTTTCTTTTTACATCTCAATTCTGACTTCTGGGGTGGCAAACTTTTTAGGCTGGCTCACTGCATGGAAGCAAAATGGCTGCAGCAATTTCAGTCATCACATTTTGTAGTACGTTGTTCATAAAGAGAAAGATGGGCTGGCTCCTTATAAGCTCATATAAAAAAGAAGTATCTTATTTTGAGAAGTACACACATATATATTCAACATATATAGTCCTAGAATATATATCTAGTCACATACTTTTTCATGTTTATTGATCAATTTAGGTTTCATATGTTTTATGAAATCTGTTTTGTAATTTATATCTATTCCAAAGATAACCTTTATTTTATCCTGATTTTAAAATGTTTGCCAACATTCTACTTGCAATTCTCCTATTTTTAATCTCCTATATGCCCCTATATTTGCTGCCATAGCCTTGATTTTCTTTGTGAATATGCATAATATTGAGGACTTAATTTGACTTAAGTACTTTGAAAGAAATTTTACGTATATTAGCTTGTCGCTAACTTCTCTTTTTTTCTTAATTAGATTTATAGGACTTGTTTAATTTTGGGGTTTTGTCTATTTTTTAAAAAGAACTGATTATTGGATTTACTTACTCTATCTGCTGGTTTACATATTTTTCAGTAATTAGTTTGACATTTTTTAAATACATTAAATCATTTTTACTGCATTTTATTATTTTCTCCTTTTTTCTTGAAGTTGACTTTATATTTCTAAATTTTTAAGAATAAAAGTTATTTAATGACAAAGTATTTAAGGATTTTATTTATGCAGGTTTACATTTGTCATGTGGACATATCTAAATAGTTTACTATTTTGTTATGCATTTACTCTTTAACTCAACAGGCCCTTAGAGAAGAGCAGCTTTCAACTTTTAGGACCTTGTAAAGTTGTTTTTCCTATTTTTACTCTTACTTAATCTTGAATAAATAATGCAGTCTATACAATGTCTAATTTGGGTGACTTATTGCAGTTTTGTGTCTCAGTAAACAAAAAATTTTAAACTATTCTTTGGAGACTTAAAAAAATTTAACGTTTAAGTGGTATAAACATTAAATATACTGTATGTCTATTCACTTTATATGCTGATTATATTAATCTAATCATCACTATTTCTATACATTTTGACTACTTTATTATATTGTGAAAGTAGGGAATTAAAGCAATTCCAATTATATTTATCTCAATTTTTAATTTCATTTTATTTTGACAAATAATTGCTTGATTAAACAGTTGGTTTCAGATTGGGCATTGTGGAGTACTTGGGGAGGCTGAGGCAAGAGGATTGCTTGAGGCCAGGAGTTGAGATTAGCCTGGCAAACATGGCAAGAGCCCGTCTCTACAAAATAAGAAAAAAATTGATTTCATGTGTAATATGTGAGCACACACTCACAAAATCAGCACCTAAGTCAGGACTTACAAACTTAATAGGTCAGCTTCCTGCTTCTATTGAGTCACTAACACTCACAGGTAATTGCTATCCTTAATTCTAACAGCATAGATAAGTTTTGTTTGTTTTTGTAATGTCTCATGTCTGGCATCTTTCATTCAACATTAGATTTGGTCATGTGTTTTGTGTGATACATTCTATAAAACAATTGGCCTGAACTCAAAAAAAAAAAAAAAATCAATATCATGAAAGACCAGAAAAGCAAACAAACAAAAAGCTGAAGGGCTTGTCTACATTAAAGGAGACGTGGCTGGGCGTGGTGGCTCACGCCTGTAATCCCAGCACTTTGAGAGGTCAAGGCAGGTGGATCATCTGAGGTCAGGAGTTTGAGACCAGCCTGACTGACATGGTGAAACCTCATCTCTACTAAAAATACAAAAAAAAAAAAAAAAAAAAATAGCTGGGCGTGGTGGCACGCACCTGTAGTCCCAGGTACTCGGGAGGCTGAGGCAGGAGAATTGCTTAAACCGAGGAGGCGGAGGTTGCAGCGAGCGGAGATCAAGCCACTGGACTCCAGCCTGGGTGACAAGAGCGAGACTGTCTCCAAAACAAACAAACAAACAAAAAACAAAAACAAAAAAAAGGAGAAGCTTTGATGAACAAACATATGATTTAATTAGAAAAAAATTGAATATCAACATGTTAATATTATCTTCTTAATGTTAAAACTTTTATTGTGAAATGGTGTGGTTATATAGAAGAATATTCTTGATCTTAGATGACAGGATACATTTAGGAGTCAAATGTTTTAGGATCTGTAAGCTATTTTAAAATAGTTTGGTAAAAGTAATATACATACATATATACTTGTGTGTGTAAAAAGAGCAGGGAAGTGTGGCAAAATGTGAAAAATTGGGGAAGGACAGGTTGGTGTCCATTGTATTGTTCTTTCAGCTTTTCTGTGGGGGCTGAAATATTTTAAAATTAAAAAATGGGAAGATAAGCACACATTGCTATTTAATCCTAATTTTTAATAACTGAGCAGTAGATTTTCTGTTGTGATTTTATTTAGCATATGTAGAAACTGAGGCTCAGTGGAGTTTGGCACATTGCCTAGAGTGTGGCCCTGATGACTCTGTGATCTAGGTCTTCTGACCATCTCCTGTGCACCTTTTATGAAGGCCACAAGGACACTGTTGACTGACAGTTGAGAAAGGTAAAAGCTATTAAGACATCCTAGAATTTTAGAGTAGATAGAAACTACAGTGATCAGCTAATCAGATTCTCTAATCTTAGAAATGTCAAGGAGGTCAAGTACTCAGTCCAAGTTCACAGAATGAGTTAGAAATGTCAGAGCCTGCATTACAATCTTGGTTTTCTAATTTTAAAATCCATATTATTTTTACTGCACCACCAATGAGCTGAACGTTCCAAGCAGATAGAATTCTGGGCCATGGAACATTAGGACAACAAAGTTCAAAATCAAAAACCAAAACAAAAGCCTCAAATTCCTCAGCTTGCTTTTCAGGTTTAAGCTTGACTTCTGACCACATGTCAATCAGGCATTGTTTTCGGCTTGAGTCGGGAATATTTTGTATAACTCCTCTGAATGTGTAATATCCCTGCTCTCTTTCCCAGCCAGGTTGGGAGTGTATCTTGGCGTGTAGCAGAATATCTGAGTGTTTATTTCCCCGTCTTACATCAACAGTTTGCTGAATCATTTACTTTTTCTCTTTGACAGAGTTTCAATGCTGTCAGTAGAATATGCATCAGGGCAGAAGGGAATTATCATGGTGTCAGGCATTATGGGTAATTCCATGTAAATGGTTCTGCAGAGAGCCATGCTGATTTGCACGGCGGCAGTAACAACTCTAAGTGGAAGGCTTCCTCATGTCTGGTTTTGTTAATTTCAGTTTAGTGGCTATTAGCAGGTTTCCTGAAAATAGGAATGTTAGACCCTAGACAGTCCTTCTCGAACTTGAGAGTGCTTTCCAGTCTCATTTATCCTCTTCTCATAGAAAAGGTTTTGTTTTCAATTTCTTTGTTTCTATTATCCTCATCTTTCTGTTTACTTTTCCTGGCTCCCTGCCTAACCTGAGAGGAAAGGGATGTGTCTCATGTTCCCTTCCCACACTCAAGACTCTGTGCCCTGAGTTTGGGTTACACTTTTCTTTTTTTTAAGTTATTGAGTATACTTGAACAATAGTATACTCTGCCCCACTATAAATAACTTTTTTCCCACAGAATACTGTATGCTTTTATAGGAAGAGCTCTGGACTGAAAGTCAGGGGGTCACAATTTCAATTTTGCCATTAGTCAGTCCTATGACCTTGATCACATTATTTTCATCACTAAATAACGTTGAGAAAATGGAACGATTCTGCCTTCACATGTGTTTGATAGGTGGTGAGTAATTAGGTTATACATGTTCATTCTTAAATTATATATGAAAATACATTCTAAAAGATATATTTTAAAAATCAACACTTAATTATCCAGGAAAAGTTGAATTAATTTTTTTCTTAGTTTTTTAAAGTGTCATGACATTTCCTTATTCTGTATGACTTAATGTATTTGAACACATTGTTTTGTTGTCTTCTCTTATGTGATCTTCTCTAGCTCACATAAAAGACTAACATTTTAAAACCCATTTTTAAAATACACAAATGAAAGTGTAGCAAATTAATTGATTTATATAACATTAATTGATTTATATAACAATCAACCATATTTGAGCTAGAATTAATAGTTTAAAAATCTTAATTTTAATATCTTTTTTTTACTGCATAGGTAGTAAAATAATGCATCCAAGATAATTTGTAAAGTAGAAATGGACAATAAAACATGGACAATAAAATCACCTGTGTCCTATATTTGTTAATGATCTAAATAAATGTTGATTATTTACTATATGCTAGCTATTGTTTTAAAGGCCAAGAATACACCAATGAACAAAACAGAAATCCTTGTTTTCATGCAACTTAGAAAATATGTAAAATATCTGGCTGGGCGCAGCGCCTTACGCCTGTAATCCCAGCACTTTGGGAGGCCAAAGCGGGTAGATCACCTGAGGTCAGGAGTTTGAAACCAGCCTGCCCAACATGGTGAAACCCCGTCTCTACTAAAAATACAAAAATTAGCCAAATGTGGTGGTGCATACCTGTAACCCCAGCTACTCGGAAGGCTGAGACAGGAGAATTGCTTGAACCTAGGAGGCGGAGGTTGCAGTGAGCCGAAATCACACTACTGCACTCCAGCCTGGGTGACAGAGCAAGACTCTGTCTCAAAATACAAAAAGAAAATATGTTAAATTTCCAATATACAATGCACAATAAATGCATGAATCATATAGATTACTAGAAGGTGATAAGTGTTGTCAAAAGAATGAAAGGAAAAGAGTTTGGAAATTCTGGAAGTAGGGTAAGGGTGTTATTGAGAAGATGAAATTTGGGTGATAATTTGAATATGTGAGGACGTGAGCCATGCAGGTATCTGGTGGAAGAACCTTCCAGAGGGAGGAAGAGTCAGAGCCAGGGTAGAAGCATGTCTGGCATTTCTAAGGAACAGCAATGTGGCCAGTGTGACTGATCATAATAAGGAATGAGTAGAGTGTTAGGAAATAAATAGTCAGAGACTTGCTCAAGGACCATAACCTGTAGCCTTTTAGGTCATGATAAGGGGTTTGGAATTTTCTCTGAGAGAAATGAGAAGTTAGTGGCATAATCTGACTTACATTTTGAAGGTCTCACTCTTGCTAAACTTTGCGAAAACTGTTTGGGATGTTGTGGGGGAGGACAGGAAGGGGAGGGCAAGAGTGGAAAGAGAAAGATGAGGTAGGAGGCTATTGCAGTTCTCAGTGAGGGCTAGTGATGACTTCCTATGTGGGGTGCTAGACTTGAGAGTGGTGAGGATCAGATTCTGAATATATGTTGAAGGCAGAGCCAATAGGACTTTATGATGGATTAGAGGTGGTGGGTGGGAGAAAAATCAAGAATAATGGAGTGCTCTCAGGTTTTTGGCCTGAGCCACTGGAAGAATGGAGTTCCCCATCAACAGAGATGGGGAAAACTGTGAGTTTAATAGGTTTGGAGCAGGTGGGGACAATATAAACAATTGGTTCTGCAAAATGTTTTGTGTAAGATTTCTGTTAGATAGCCAAGTAGTAATGTCAAGTCCTTAGTCAGATAATGAGCCAAGAGTTCACCGGAAAGGTCTGGGCTGTAGAAGTAAATTTGACTTATTCCTGGGACCTTTGTTACTAAGAATTGAAGTGTAGAGACTAACAGAAGACAATAAGAAACGAGGTAGAAGGAAAACCAGGAGATGAACTAGTAGTATAGTGTCCTAGAAGCCCAGTGAAGAGAATATTGTAATGAAGAATAACTGATTCTCTGTATAAATTAAAATGAAGTAGATGAGGAGTAAGAACTGGCTATCAGATTTAATGAAATGAAGGCAATTGATGACTTTGGCATGAGAAGTTTCAGTAGAGTAATGGGTGTGAGATTATAAAAGAAGAATTTGAAGTTTAATGCAAAGGGGAATGGAGAAATGGGGCCATTGTTGGAAGGAAGAGTGATATGAAGAGACCCTTTTTAAGAGATGGAGAAATGATACCATGTTTGAATGCTGATGGGAATGATCTAGCAGAGAGGTAAAGCTTATGGTGTGGAAGAGAGGCAAGAATTGCTGGATGGCTGTCCATCTATGAGGATGAGGAAATAGGATCTGATGCATACCTGAAAGAATTGACCTTAAAGAGTGTCATGGGTAGTTTACTTATAGTAACAGGAGAAAGGCAGAGTATATGGAAATAGATTCTGGAAGGGGTAGAAGAGGTTGTGGGAGTCTTTGGAAGATCTCCTTTGATAGCTTCAATTTTGCCAGTGAAATTGGAAGTAAGATCATTGAGAATGAAGATGGGGAAGAATTGTTGAAGGTTTTAGGGGGAAGAAAGAGGTAAGTAATTGTTCAACAAGAGAGTAGGAGAATGAATGGGCAAAAGAAACATACTGTGATGACTTGGTAGTACTGAGTCCACTGGAAATTTTCAGTCATGAATTTGAAGTGAGCCCAATCAGCAGAGTGATGTGTTTTTCCCTACCTATATTCAGTTACTTGGAAGAATGTAGGTGGTAAGACAGCAGAAGCTGAGAATATATGCAAATATGTGATTAGATTGGCTGATCATATCAGTCCAAATTCTGCATAAGAAAAAATGGTTACTTTCATAATTGATACCTTGTTTCATTTCCTTCTATCTTTTTAATGCACAGGATTAATTTGGGTTTTTTTTCTTTTTACATAAAAACAATTATTCTGGAGTATGCCCTTTTATTCAACATTCTTTTTTTTTTTGGTGGGGGGCTTATAATATAATGCCTATGTGTGGTGTTATATACAATTAATGATTGCATTAATTTTTATTTTTACTTTTGTAAATCTACCTAATTGTATTGTCCTTTAAAACTACATGTCAGTTCATGGTTATAACACCCATTGTTATCAATAACTCACTCACCAATCAATTTAACCATGAAAATGGCCCATGCCATATGTCTGACAAGCATTAAGTCATAGGACCAAAAAAAATTGGGATAAGCTTTAAAAGTATCATTCAGCATTCTTTTATGGACATGTAAAAATAGTCTAGTTTCTTAATAAGCTACAGCATATATATCTAGTTCTTTTTGTGGCACAGGGGGCATTTAGTTTTGTGAAAGAGACCAGCAGTTTTTCTAAAATACTCTCTTCTCCCATTCTTCATTAGTAACAGAATCCCTTTCCCTGTTTTTAGCTTGGTACACGGCCACCTGAAATGAGGACTAAGTTTGCCAGCTTCCTTATTACTAAGTATGGCCATGTGACCATCTTTGGCCAATCAGATGAAAGTGAAAGTGGTGTTTCAGCCATCAGTCATCTGGCACCATAACCTTGACAATGGAAGCTATATAAATTTATAAGGTATAAGGAATCTATGTCTCTGACACTATGGGGGATATACTTCTGGTCAAAATGACTATGAAAGAAAAATAACTTCTTTTATAAGCTACTGTTATTGTGGTTTTTTCTGGGCCTCACAGATGAATTTCAGCCATCTGATAACACGAAAGTCCAACATACCTGTTTTTTCCTAAGCCAAGAATTCTATTGCTTGTTTTTCTTCAGTCCACATGAGACTCTCTGAAAATAAGAGCAAAATAAAAAGGCATTACTTTAAAAAGGACAAAGAAAAAAAACCCTGAATTTAAAAACTATAGGGCAAGATGTCTGTAAAGTACATATTTGTGATCCTCCAGCAACTGTCCTTGAATCACATACTGGCAGGCATACAGTATCAGCACACTGTCTAGAGGCTTCTTTCCCGAGCTCCCTCATCTCCCAGACCTATGGATTCTGAATATAGGTGTAACTTTTTTGTATCCTGCAGCTAGTCTTGCCCACGCTACTCTCTGCCAAGGACAAATTCCAAGTAGGTTTGATTTGGGGATTTCATTGACTTCACAGTTCATTGGCAGAGCAGTGATTCTTAAAAATTCTGTAGTTAGTAAATCCCTTAGCACTTCTTGGTTCAAATCCTCAAATTGGCTTTCATCTGAGAAGGAAATTCTGATATTACTCACTGAAGTGTCTTTAAGACACCCTTTCCTATGTTTCCTATATTCCCCCAACATACAACTTAATTAAGTAGTTCTCAAGTTTTAATCAGCATAAAATCTTGATAAAAATGCATCTCATCTGACCACAGCCTCAGAGTTCTTAATTTGGTAGCTATCATGGTGAGGCCCAGGATTATTCATTTTTAACCAGTGTTATTCCATGACTCTGATGTGGGCCCTGCAGGGGTCACGTTTTGAGAAATTGCATAGAGGCCTCCAAGGGTCTTGACTCAGACAATCTAACTAGTTATAATTTTCTAGTACTTCTAAGGCTCATGCTGAAAGGAAAGAACACTTCTGTATCAAAGAGATAATTCAAAGAGGATTAGATTCTGGTTAAAACTTCTCTCACTGTAGAAACACATAAGAAATGGCATGGCTTTCCTTGCTGTGTGAATTTGGAATTGTATAGATCTTATTATAATTCCAGCACTGCTACTTATTGGCTAAGTGATTTAGATGAGTTATTTGGCATATACAATCCTCATCCACAATGCTGTTGTCAGGATTGGAATGCCTAGCCTGGCTCCTGGAGCATTGACGTTCGTCAGTAAATGACGGTGTTCCTGTTTTCCCACTCCTCTTTCTTCTCATTTTCTTAGTTACATGAAACTTCTTGACCCCTCCATAGATTGCTAATAAGTTCCAACTACTGATCTCTCTGAGTGTTGATATCTTACTAAACCTGCCACTGAGTACGTTAACTCTTAACACTGAGTTCAGTTGACTTCCTGAATGTCTGACAAAGTATTGTCTTCCTTGGTCCACTGCTTGGTGTCAGTCCTGGTTGCCCCATCTGAGACACTGTCTCTTGAGCTGTGGTCCCACATGTGGTTGCCCTACTTCCACCAGCATAAAGTGTCATTGAGATGGGGGTACTTCAAAAGTCTGGGGAGTTTTTGCTTGTTTTTCTACAGTCCAACTGGACTCTACTGGATGCTCAGAAGCCTTCCATTGTCTGAGATTGTTTAACAAATGAGTGATCTTCACTAACTTCATCTATTCTTTCCCCAATACAATAAAAAGGAAACCTCTGTTAAAAGAGTAAGTCTGACACCTGTGCTTCTACTCCCAGTGCACTCTCAATTTAAATGTCATTTTAGGGTCAAAAGATTGGCAGACAATATATGGAGGTACACCAGTTCTCCTCATGTTCTCTTTCAACTCAAGCATCATAGGGAGCTTCGCAGCTGTGACATGACTTCCACTTAGTGACAAAGGGGATAAAATCAATTTCCATTTCTGTGGTTCTTCCAGAGAGGCACAGGGATCTCAGCCTCCTAATGTTGTTATTGTTGAAGATCCAAAGATAAGAGCTAGGCTTTAATGTTCGAGGCCAGAATAGAAAGACTGGCTACCGGAGGTTTTTATACTTCCTGATTTATCCATTCTAGAAAGATGTTGTCAAAGGATCAATATTAACACACCGAGATGTGGTTTAGCTGCTTTATATTTCATAGTTATGTAGATACCTACCTCGGATTGTAGATTTAAACATTTGTTTGGGTAAGACCTGCCTAAAACTAGCATACTATCCATTTATTCTCCTTCTTTAAAAATCTTCCAATATTTGTTTCTGGAACCCTATTCTGAGACTCATTTCAAGGGTATTAAGTTAATGAAAAGTATTGTGTTTGAAGTTTTCTCTTTGAAATTTCATGAATGACTACATTAAATCTCCCAAAAATGTATGTATACACACACTTCAGTGTGTGTAAAGCAGTGGTTTTAAGCAGGGAGAAATTTTGCCCCCTTTTCACTTCCCCTGCCAGAGACATTTGACAGTATCTAGAGACATTTTGGGTTGTCCTAACTAGGTACGGATGCAATGGGCATCAAATGAGGAGAAGTCAAGGATGTTGCACAATTTCTTGCAATGCACAGAACGGTCCCCATAACAAATAATTTTATGACCCAAATGTCAATAGTGCTGATGTAGAGAATCCTTGTTATAGACCCTAACAAATGCGTTTTATCCATGAGAATGTATATTCATTTTATTTTCACGAAAGATTAGTTCACCCATCAACCAGTTGGGATATTGCCGAGTAGCCTTCTTGCACCGTCCTTCCATAACCTCCTCAAATGCAAACCAAAATGAGTTATGTCAGCACAAACATCCCAGGGGATCCTGATACACAAATAAGAAATAGTTAGCCCTGGCTTGCCAAGCTCCCTCCACACCAAGTCAATAGTCTCATCTTAAATTAGAGTCCATACACTGTGTCCTTCAGTGCCTGCTCCTTTCCCTTCTCCCTGCCACCCGGAGTACAAGATGCAGACTTTTCCCTAAATCCTATAATACCACAAAGCCCCTGCTCTTTGTATTATTCTCAAGCCCTAGCAGGACTTTTTGCACTCAGGCAAATAAACACGCCACCAATAATCCAATAAAACCTTCACAGACATCGGATATAAACCACAGTGATGAGCAGCGCACAATCTATAGCTGCTTGGTTCTTTTTTATAAACCGTGCACTTGAGCCCTGAAGGCAACACAAATCAAAGCTAATAAAAGCACCAAGGCCTTCCCCTTATTGTTCCTAATGGGTTGATTCACCCTACCTATGCCATCCCCCTAGTGACCACAGGCTGTCTCCACTCCCAAATGGAAGACATACAAGCCAGCATATCAAGTATGAGGAAGGAAAGAGCTCATTTCAAATATGCCTTTCATCATGATGGCTTTCCACTTGGTGCTCAATAGCTGCAGAGAAATAAACACGATCACCTTGGGCTGGAACTAGCCAATGTCTCATACTCCCAGAGACCAAATACAGCACAACACTCAATCCTAGAGCTCATTTTTTTTTAAGTGTGTTTTCCAACTCTCAACTTTGTGAAGGAGCTGCAATTAGTCTATGCAGTAAATGAAAGCAGATTAGAGCAGAAGAATGTGAGTAGTTTGATAAAAAGCTTGCCCCAAAGCAGAGGTAACAGGAAACCACAGTTAGAATGTTCTTTCTTCACAGGAAAACCTCTGTCTTTGGTAGAATGACTGCAGAGTTTCACTGATAATCAAAATGCGAAGATTTTATTCTGAGCCACAAACTCAGATGTCTCTATGGGCCAAGCAGATCATGTACCTGAGTGAAAAAGGGGTAGAAAAAGGGAAAAGCAAGAAGGGGAGTCTTTGGTCATCTGGATCACATTCCTTGTTTATAATCTCTACTCCTCCCCTAGAGCTCTGCCAAGTTGTTAGCAAGTAGGAGTGTTTTTTCAGATCTTCCCATTTTTTTCAAAGCTATATAATAAAGACTTATTTTGAGTGTAGAAGCTTCCAATTTTTACATATGGGTAAGTAATTGCATTTAGACAAAAAATGCATGGGCCAAAACAAACTAAAATATATCTGTGGGCTGGAACTATTAATAGCTGTGAGCTACCAGGCTGGCACCACTCTTTACCCATGGCCCTGTATGCAATGTCTCATCCTTGAAAATGAAGTTAATAGTTAGTGTCCATTAGTACCAGGACCCTAATCAAGGCTTTACAGAGTACATTGTTGTATTTTTTAAGTTTCATGTTTAGAATCCACATACATTCATGGAAAGAGGTGGATGGCAGGTGTCAGGGTAACGTGTTGGCATCCCCTTTTGTTTCAAACCTTCTCCTATAGGTGTCACCGATGCTCTCCTTGGGGAGGACTGTGGTCATTGACCTCCCAGTCCCCTTCATGGTAAACCTTTTCTGATGATGGGCCCTGCCTAGTCAGCCAGCCATGGAGAAACAAAGATTACATACAGCCTTTCCTGACTAAAGATGCCAGTGAGCATCAAAATCAAATGGGAGCTTCTCATAGCCCCAGGCACCGAGAGATTGCCACTCTGGAATCTCTCTCAGTAGGGTTATGCTCTTTTATAATGTAATATCTTCTCAACAGCTCCTACTTTTCAGAGCAGCCTTGCAGAAAAGCAGTTGGAGGTCTGTTTCTGTTAGCCAAGAATTCATACTCACAGCTTGCCAGAAAAGGTGATGCATCTGTTTATAAGGGAGGTAAGGGAAGAGCCTACTCTATCCATTGGCACAATCATTCCAGATGCATCTGGTGGGACAATTCTGGGGCTGATTCCAATCTCCGGAAATGCATTCTTCCCTGGGAAAATTATTAGCAAGGAGGGACAGGTGTGCAGGGCATTCAAACAGACCTTCCTTTTATTTCTGTTTAAATCCTGAATATCTATTAACAACTTGCCTTCCCATTGTTCCCCAACAATTGAAGCGCAGCTGAATACACAATAGGAAAATAGAAACTGAACTAGCCAATTGACTCCGGCTTCTATTTAACTACCAATACACGCAATGATGTCCTAACTAGTAAATATTTGGTAGAAAATATGTAAACATATAAATAACACTATTGAGTATCTCCAAACTAATTTTTGGAAGTAGGTAATCAATAATTTCCCGTTACTTTCTTTTCTCTTGTCTTTCCTTTTCTCTCCTCTTCTTCCCTCAAATATTTGTAAAGCATCTTATATTATGCGTAATTCTGTGTACATCGTACCTCTAGGAAAGGACTTCCTCCCCATCAAATTCATATATGTTGACAAAAAGAACATACGCAATTCAAAAAACTAGAAATTGCCCTGGTGTGTTATTAGATGTCCAATAAATGTTGCTGTTGTCACTTGCTGGGAGAAGGGAAGTCATTGCTAACTTGCAGTGGTCAGGAAACACTTCAAGAAAGTGTACAATTTGGATACATTAGGAGGAGAAATACCTGGGAGAGGTGGAGTAGGGATAAACATTATGAGGAAAGTCTAGCTATGGGCTTCGTAGTAGTTTTGCTGCTATACCACATTACTATAGATGGTTAGTGTGAGTTAGAAGAAAGACTGGCAGATAATTTAAATATTGGACAAGTTAATTTGCCTCCCTGAGCATCAGTCTCCTCATGTGTAAAATGGGAGTAGTAATGCTTACCTCCATTGAGATGCTATCAATTAAGTGAAATAAGTAATGAAATAATGTACGGAGCATGAAGCATGCTTCCAGGCCCTTTTCTGCACCTGCAGTGTAATAGATAAAATCATGGAGGTCTTTGTGTGATGAATTTGGACATATTTCTACTGGCCTTTGTTGAGGAAAGTTGTGATTTATAGGAAGTCTTTATTCTATATTAAATACACATAAACTACTTTCAACCATCTTAACAAGTGGCAGAGGGTGAGAAACTATGTACAATATTAAATTTCATTTGGATTATTTGAACTTTCTCTTAATTTGAGCAGAACTAGCATTATTAGAAAGAAAGAGCACGCTGACAAAATTAGTGGTGCTTCAAAAGTGCTTAGATATCACCCTGGGGCTTTAGGGGGGTTGCCTGCATTATGTAGGAAAACAACTTCATTACAAACCCAGTGTTGTAGAGTTCTAAAGGAAGTAACTTGCTGCTTGTTGAGGTTCTAATGACACATCACTCTTGTTTATTCTTTGAAGGGAATGTCTAGCAGGCCTCTGTGTAGCCAGACTTTGGTAGTGCACTCCTAAGTTCTTTATGCATCAAAAAGTAATAAAGTATCTCTTAAAATATGACATAGTCTAATTTGACCACTGATGTTAATAATCTGGCTTCTCTCCCTTCTTTTTCCCTTATTTATTGAAGATCTCTCCCTTTTCCTGGCCAGAACCCTTGTGACCTTCTTCCTTTACACCCCCTGAGCTCCCTTATCTTCCATTGTTTACCTTCCATGGAAGAGGGTTAAATGTACTCAGTGGCTCTTTTGCCTCCTTAGCTAACATGAGAAGGGTCTGTTCTTTTACCTGAACTCCACCAAAAGGAATTCCACATCTCCACTGGAGGTTTGAAATGCAAATAAACTGAGAGTAGTTTTCATGTCACAGATTTGGTTTCTCTGCTCCCTTCCCTTAGGAAATTGTATTTTTCTTTGCCCTGGCTTTTACCTGCTCCCCAGCCCTCCATCTTGCCTCAGCCATGTTGGTTCTCTGGCCCTTATTTCTTTTTAAGATCATTAGGTTTCTCTCATGTTAACTGTTGCTGCTTCCAAGACCCTCACCTTCCTCGTTTCTCAGTGTGATTTCTTTTGCTAATATGCTCACTGTCTACCATGCCCCTTCCACTAAGCCTTCAGCAGCCTTTGCTCTGTTCCTCCAGAAATATTTCATGAAGTGGGAGCTGACCTGGGACAATGCCAACTGTACAAGTGCCGCGGGCTGACTGTGTGCCTCCTGGCCAATCAGTTTGCCAGCCCCGGTAAGAGCTCGTTTCCTCCTGCTCCTTGACACAAGCTTTCCTCACTTCATGAGAGTTTCTGATTAGTATTCAGAAAGAGTTTTCTCTGATGGCATTAGTGGGAAATCAGACTGTCAATTTATTTATACCCAGCCTCAGGGCAGAACCACTGTGTGTGGGTAAAGCTATTAGATGCAGAAAATACTCTGTGTGTGTTTGTATGTACACATATTGACTGGAGGTGACGTTTAGAGTGGAAATCCATTGCCCCATGGGTTGGAAAGTGACTCACAGTGGGATATAAAAATGCCGGAGAAAGATTTGGTGTTATTGCTAATGGAGGTCACATTTTCAAACCCCTAGTTAATGGTTTTCCCTAGAAATGCTGTGTCCTCTATGGATAATCACAGTATAATTTATGTCTGGACTTGCTTGCTCCAAACTTAAGGTGGTGGCCTAATCTCACATCATAAGGAAGGACACATCTCTCGTAAGTCTCCTACTTCTGAGATTGACAAAATGGGCTACTGGCCTGGGGTAGACCAGAACAGGGAATAGGGAGCAAGGGCTTCTGATGGGCCAGCAGCCATGGTGTCTTGGTGGGAAGCACCCTGGATTTAGGTTTAGGGGAGCTAAGTTAGGGATGCAAGTCTCCTGCTTATTGAGAATACAGAGATAAGATGCTCAACTTCTCTCAAACTCATCATTAGGACTGTTGTAAGAGTTAAAATATATACATACACATAAATATATATAATTTATATGTGTATATACTATATTGTATATGCATATATATATGTATGTATGTGTGTATATATTCATGTATTTATGTATGTATAATGAAAGAACATGATCAGCACAAAAATCCAGGTTGGGTTGGATTCCCTTAATGTATTCTCGTAGCATCCTGTAGTTTTTGGTCACAGCACTTTCAAAACTATCATGAAGCAATTAATAATGTAATGCCTCTAGACCAAGACAATTATTAAAATGACTCCTCTGGATTAAGTTATATGAGCGTATAGGGATTTTGTCCTTAGCCTGAGAATGTAACAATGTCTGACACTTGGAAAGAACTTACTATATATTTTTGCAAAAATGAATGAATAGTAAATGTTAATGTTTCTTAAGTCTGAATAGAAATGAACTCTATTGGGGATTTTCTGTGACTAATGGACACTGACACCTCTACTGGTCTGCTTTATTTTGATTCTGGATTAAGTAAGAGTCAATAATATCCTAGGTGCCCATTTAATTTTTAACTATCTAGCAAAATGAAAATATGAACCCCTTTTTACAACTATGACTCTTACAGCCTCCTGGACCTTGGTTTTGGCCAGTGTTTCTCATTTGTAGACTGACTCTTACTTTGACACATAGGTATCAGCAACACTCAGGATTGCAAATCTTATATGGGCATGTGGATACAGAAAGCCATAGCCAGAGTTCCTAGGCTGGTGGGTGTTTCTGATATTTGGCCCATAACCCCATTAATAATTTAGCACTTGTTAGGCCATGTGTTTGGGGTTTGATTTAGGGAAAAAACGTGGTCACAGAAACACTAAGGAGAGCAATCCTCCATGTTGGTATGTAGAGATAAATCATAGAATGTTAGAACATTCTGGAGGAAAGCTGTTTGGGATGCACTACCAAGCATCATGCAGATTCAGTGGAGGTTATAGTAACGGTCCCTTCATTTACGCAGAACATGTGTTGGCTGGCTGTACTACACAGAGAGCAAAGGCGGGTATTCACAAAGACAGAAGTAAGCCATGATCTTTTAATTAAGAAAAGTTCCTGTCTCATTTATTTCCTATTTGTCCCCCCTCCACATCCCTTTCCTAAAAAGGGTCATTGAAGGCCTGAAGATTTCTAGATTCTTGATCTTTTTTCCAGAATTTACCTACCTGTTCCATGTTTCACTTCATCTGGCCTTGAATCTCCACTGAATGGCTATGTAGCAGTTATGCACTAATAAACAGTGCAAGAATTGGTGTTACTTTGCTTATTAGTGGACACTATTTAAAGAGCCATTAATAAAAAGAATATCAGTAATTGTCAGATTGATGGATGAGATGATTTGAAGCCGGGAGACTTTTGGCTTCCATAAGCTAAGACCCTGCCAAAGGTGAGGACTCTGAAGGTAAAGGTGATACAATCTAGACCTGCAGGTAGATCTAATACAACCTCATCTCTGTGCCCAATATTGGGGTTTTCTCTTCTGTCTATAGCAACTGTTGCCCCTTTGCAGAATTTCAGCAGTATGCTCCTATCTTCTGCTACCCGCCACGGCGTCTTTAATTTCCAAGTCTCTTTCATTGACAATACATCCCAGTTCTTTTGTCAACCGTAAGATCTAACCTGATCAGGTTATGAACCTGATCATAACCTAATCTTTCTTAGGTAAGTAAGAACGAGACAGCTAAACAAGGTTGGAGGCAGGCAGGAAGCAGACAGGACTAACTGGAAAAGGTTTCATTAAAAAATAAAACATTTCTCATCATTTGAACTGAACAAAGTCTGCTAACAAGTGTTTTGCCTGCTGGGGTTTCCAGCTGTTCCCTCCTGAGCACTTGGGCATCAAAGTTATATGGGCCCATGGTAGGACTGTTTGCTCTGTTGCCAGGGCAATTACAGTCTGACAGTGCTCAGGTCTGTTCCTGTATTTATTACTATTGTTATTACTTCCCTGCTCATGGACTTTGGGGGCCTCCCAACACAGATGCACACCCTGGGGAATCACAAAGCCACAGGCACATTTGTAGCCACGGCTTGGCAATTCTTGGATTGTTATGAATTTAGCATATTCCCTTTATCTAGTAAGCAGAACCATAGATGTTTAGACCTACTCCCGCAAGAAAGACGGTTTCCTGCAGAAAATGTCAGTTTTCCACTCCAGGCAAGGAGCAGAAAGGAGGGACTGCAGTATCTTCATTTTCATCTGAAAAGATCTACAGGGGCCGATTGACCGGGGCTTCATGCCTGACACTGGGCAGAGAGACATATTCATTGTCAAACTGCTCAGGTCCTAGACTTCCATTATTGCTACAGCTATACATAAATACATTTATAAACAAACATACAAATAAATAAATTTACCCTTTAGAACAATCAGAATGCTTTGCATTCTTACTGTGTGCATGTTTCAAAAGGCAACATATACACGTATCATCCTCTCTTCAAATCTACTTACACTTTGGTAGGGGACGTTTGCTCAAAAACAGAGCAAAGTTTTAGAAACAATCTTTTCCCCTTAAAGTTAATTGTATTACTAATCCAATATAGTCAACACATTTTTTTTTTACTGATTTTTTAAGTTCAAAGATTTGAAAATTAACCATTATTTTTTAATTTACTTATAGACTCAGTATGAGTTTTATACAGCAATCTCATTGCTTTTAAGACCTGAATTATGATTTTCTCTGCATTTGGTCAGGCCTCATTTACTGAACTGAATATAAAATTGCTATATGGCTTTTGGTCAGATATTATCTTTTAGATCATAACAGCAAATTCTAGCCATGCGTAAATCTGCAGACTCTAATGTATATTAGCCTCTCTTCCTGTTTGTGTTTGTTCTAAGTCTCTCCTTCTCCAAAGTATTCAGTCAAGCAAAACTTGAAGGAAAATAATAATAGTATTAATGAAGGAGAGTTTTAGTGACTAAAAATGCTCAGAACTTGAATGCCTACAGGAGCCAAGCAGGTAATGTAAATTCAGGGACTGAGAAAGTGTAAAACAGTATGGACTTAACTGCTTATGTTGCTACACCTGCTTAGCTCTTTCACCTTTAAAACACTGTGCAGGGACAAGCAACCAAAAGATGTCTGTAAGTATACACGTCCCAAAGTCCTAATGCAGAGAAGCTATTCTTCCTTCAGACATTCAAGGCAAATCCTATTTTAGTGTATGTTTTAGCTTCCTTAATACGCATAAGATCATTGGGGATTGACATTTCTTATTCCCTTCAATGATCCTTTAAATGTCCACCCTGGACTCTAAAATGACACCCTGTACCAAACGCTGTGCTAGAGATGTAGAAATAAAGGCAATTTTTAGACTGGAGGCAGGTACATGAGTCACCTTCAAGAATTCAGACCATGCTTTTTTTCCCAACTCCTAAAACAGAGTCATGTACATAGTAAAAGCTAATTCAATGGCCATTAAATGAATGAATGAACAATGGGCTCTCACAATTATTTGCTGGAGATAATGATGCTAACCCAGTCCAGTTAGCAGAACTAGACTGGGTTAACATCATTATCTGCAGCAAATAATTATGAGAACCCTGTAATTCTTCAGGAAGCCAAGGACACCTCTTAAAAAGACACCCACGCACAAATTTACATGCAATAAGAGGAGAATTACCAATTGCCACGGACTCTCATTGGTCAGTGAAACCCAGTTAAAAGCCTTTTTGCTAGAGCAAGCAAACAGTCCCCAGATAAACTGGAGATAGGGAGCTGGGAGATGGTGCTAAGCACGGTGACCATGCTAAGGTGTCATCCAAGTACAGGGCTCCATACCAAGTCACTCTCGTCGCTCTGAGAATGTCGCATTGCTTCATCTCATGTTCTGTGCAGTTTAACTAGTCAAATGAATCATTTTGTGGACAATTTCTCTATTCTCTGCTCTAAGATCTAAAGTTTCTTTCTTCGTTCAACTTCCACTTTCCACATAAATTATGTATAATGGGAATACTAATCTTTTATCTTACCTCATTCAACAACTTCAGTTATGTAGAGGAATAAAAGCTCTGGCTTCCCTTGAATATCACTTCTGAATACTTGGCCTTTCTGTGTTTTATCCATATCAAATGACCATGTAAAATTGGAGAAAAATAAAGATTTCAGCTGGAAAAAGAGAAGCAAAACTAAGCAAAGATGAGTGGCATTTATATATCCATGTAAATGTGCATACACACACATATCTGTGATCTGTGCATATTCTGCTATGCCTCTGTGTGTAATATTACATACTGCATAGGGAAAAAGTGTCTGAAAAAATTCACTTTTTTATGGGGCATTTACTCTGTGCCTCCATGCAAGGCATGTGCACTTTATATCTCATTTAATCTTTATAGAAGCACTTAAGCAGTAGATAATATTTTCCCATTTTTAAGAAGAGGACATTGAACTTGAAGAGCTTATGTAACTCAAAAGTGGTCATTTGGACAGAAAGTTGGGATTTAGATCCCAGAGAGCTGACTACCAAAATACTCCCTTTATGCTACTTAAAGTAGAGAGATCTTGCTGGAGAGTGTATTTTGGAGCAGTGCTACTCAAAGTATCTGGTCTATGAGCTTTTGATTCATTGGCTGCTGCAATGATAGAGGGAGCTTGTACTCACTATCCCAATGCCACCTTCATTGATAAAATCAGCTGAACTAAAAACAGATGCTTAGTTACATGATTGATTTACATTCTGGCTTAGGCTTCTTATTTTATCACAAATAAAAGTTCATAACTATTTCACAGGCAAATGCTAATCTGCAGACCATAATTTGTATACCCCTGGACTTGACTATTATGGTCCTCTTACCTAACAAAAACTACTAGCCATTCCGCATGACCAGTGAAGATATGCCTAGTGGACCACTCTCCTGGCAGACACCATATGGAAGATTAGGGAGCAACATCTTCATATTAAAATTATTTCACATTTTTGAAAATAGTTTTGATTTGTGTCTTATCCCCATCATCTTCCAAGAACACTGGATGGACTTGAATGAGCTGCTGTGGGGCTTGGAGGTCTAAGTAAAGATTAGGATTGATATTCCACTGATTTTCACTGGCGTGACTATACCAATTGCTAGTGCATTACAAGACTTCCACACCTATGGGTTAATGGCCCCTGCTCATACCCACCAAGTGAATCCCCTACCCACTACTTCTCTATCCTATTCTTCCCCACACTTCTTACATGATCCACCAGGACCTTACTGAGATTCAGAAACCCAAGGGTTAAAGCCAAACAAAACGGAACTCAGCTCCATTGCTGTGGCCAGCTTCTGTTCTAATTGGTCGTTGTCCTTTTCATTTGAGTTTCTCAAAATGATGTATGTAACCATGGGGAGAGCAGCACCTTTCTCCTTCTTCCCTCACTCTGTGGTCTTAGAAGGAAAGTTCAAAATTAGGTCTGAGAGAAACCATAGAGACCCAGGTCTAAAGAGATTACTCCTGCTAGTCACCACACGAGGTAGCTGCAGGTAGGTTTCAGAAGCCAGGATGTGGAGCTTAGGGATCAAAGGGCCAGAGAAGATGAGTGCAGGAAACAGTGGTCACAACAGCAAAGGGGAGGGAGGCAGGCTGTTGTTGCACAATACTGGGCTTGTGCATGTCTCTGGTGCCATATTGAGTTTTTTGGTGGAGGCATGAGAAAAGAGAGAGGGAATCTGGAAAGGTAGAACATAATTTATAAGAAAGACTGACCTCCAGATCTGCAAAAGCTCTTGGTAAACAAATCCATGAAGTATAAAGCCTCTGTTGAAATGGACAATTTAATAGAGTCAGGGACTATTTCTGTCACTCTGGCTCTACTGCTACTTAATTACATAACTTTTTAAATGCAGTTTATGCATCCGAAAAAAACAGAGTTTGGCTTGATCAGACTCTAGGCTACCTAATGATATAGTCTCTGATTCACATTTACCCTCTGTATGCATCCTCTAGAAAAACATGGAAATGTAATCACAGAGGGTTTTGCTGTCTGCTGTGGTCATTCATGGTGTAGGGACAATTTCACCAATAAAAGACCCAAAGGAAGGTCCAGCATAGAAATGAAGGACATGTTTGAAGTCTAGCCCACACCTTCAACCCTGCTGTGCCAGTGAATATATGGCCTTTTTTGCAGTTACTAAGGAAACAATTGTCAGTAATGGATTAGGAAACCTGGGCTGAAAGGACACACACAGAGGAGGCTTTATACGGAGGAGCCCATCAGATGAAAGCTGGCAGAGACACCAACATGCTTAGTGATTGATCCAGTCCTCAGCATGAAAGCATTAGAGTCCATTTGTTGGGGTCGATAAGTGGAGAAGCCACAGAGCCCATCCACCAGCCCTCATGCTTTCTTCTCTGCTACCTATTAGAGTTCACAGATCTGCATGGTCTGATTGACTCAGTTTTAACTTCTCTGTTGGGTACATGTCAAGGCAGGGAATATACACACTTAATTCAAGTTCAGAGCCTCTCCAAACCTGTTTAAAACTCCAAAAGTCACTGTCTTTCAACTCATGCTGGCTCTTTGTAAAGGTTCTGAGAATGTTTGGAGGGACAATACTAAGGAAATGGATGTCTCATTGCTATTTCTTCACTAGACCTTTTTGCTGGGGGTTTACCTCCCCTGCCAAGTAGACACAAGCCTAGTGACCCTAAAAAAGTTAAGGGGAATCTAGGTGATACCAGGTAGTTCATGGGAAGGAAAAAGTAGGACCCTAAGAAACTAGATAGGCCTAACCAGCTCATTCCTTTGCCTTTTATTATTGAATATTTAAATTAAAATATTAAATTTAAATTTAATGATTTATAAAAGTTAATTTTAAATTTAATTTTATTTGTAGATTTAAAATCACATATTACATAAAATAATATCTTAATTCAGATACACTTTTTTCAGGCTTACATGCATTGCTGAAGGAAAGAATGAGTGGCAAAAGCAATTAGGTAATTTGCGGATTTTAAAAAAATAAGGAAAACACACAAAGAAAATATTTAAATCATGCAACCTCATCGCGCATTTCTAACCAGTTAACATTTTTGTGCCCATATAGCATTACAAAAATTTAAAGTAAAATTGGGGTCATAAAGAATATAGCATACTATAGTCAATTATACTTTACATTATGATTATATCCCTATGACGTTGCCAATTTGAAACACATGATGTCAATATTTCCACGGTGTGAATTCACTCAAGTTTATTTGACTAGTAATAGACTGGTGCACATTTTGGACTGTCTCTGTTGCTCATTTTACGATTATTTCCTTAATATTAATTTCTGAAATTTGTATTGTTAACGCCAAGAGTTTAATTAAACACTATTAAGGCTTTCGAAATACACTTCCAAATTTCCTTGGAAAGACTGCAGTCTATCATTTTGCCAATGATAGAATGTAACAGTGACTGTTTCCAGTCCATTTCCAGGAGACGATTATGATTTGGGGCTGAGAGTAAGCCTACGATGAGAAGAGAATCATAGTATTTTATTGTTATATTAATTTGCATTTTATATCAAAGCAAATTAACATTTTCTTCTCTGTTGGAATTATGTTTATTTTGTTGTTTCCATTTTAGTTTAGTTTATGGTATTTCAGGTTATTTAGATATATTCAAATTTTATATATCTAATCATTAATATTTTCCTTTATGATTTCTTCCTTTGAAAATATACATTGAAAAACCTTCTCCTGGTTTGGAGATGATAAAACATTAATGTATTCTATTCCTTTTTATCATTAAATTCTTTGATCATTTAACTCTTTAATCAAAATAAATTTTTTTTTTTATATTTGGGGTAAGATTTTTCTCTCAAATATTAACCAACTGCTTTTGAGTTTTTATCTTTATTGTAGTCCTTTTCCTGTTGCCTGAAGGGCTCCTTTGTCAACTACAAACTTATTTACCCCAAGATTTTTGTGCTTTCTCTATTCTTCCTTTGATCTGCCTGCCATGTTTTATATCAATACCGAAACATTTCATCATCATCGCGTAGAAGAGCTTTTTCTTATCTGTAAGGGAAAACCCTCATTAATAGTTTTTACTTTTTATTCTGGGATATTCTTGCCATGTATTCTTCCAGAGGGGAATTTGTTTTCCAAGTCTGAAAATCCCCAGTGGTGTTCTGATTTCCTATGCTTTGATAGACTAATAGGAGGAGAATCGATATTGCATGGTCCTGGGCCTTGCTTTCCCAGAATTTATTTAGATGTTCCTTGCTGTCTCTTGGTCCTAGGATTTATCACATAACCCTTGGGATATTTATTATTAATTTCATTCTCAGATATTTTATAGTTCTGTTGCTATTGTGAATGGAATTTTTATTATATTTAATAATTTATTTTGCTGGTTTAAACAAAGAAAATTGATTTTTGTATATTTAATTTGTAACCTGTCTATTTACTCAATTGTTGCCCTATCTCTAATAAATTTTGTCTTTCAGTTGATGTCTTTAGTTTGTTTTAGGATATAATCAGTCTTCAAATGAAGATAATGTGATTATTCCTTTCTAATATGTATGACTCATTTTTTCTTATCTTATTGAATTGTCTGGGTCTTGCCAAATAATAGGAAATAACAGTGGTGAAAGCAGGCCATAATTTTGGTGATAGTTTTAACAAGGACTGTGTTAGTGTCAAGTACGATTTTGACAATTGGTTTTGCATGAGCATTTGCTGCTGTTATTGATAATAATAAGTACTTACATAATATGCAGTGGACCAACTACTGATCTCAATTTATATATTAATTCACTGAATTATCTCAGCAACTCCATGAATTAGATATTATTATGCTTATTATAATTATTATTTCCATTACATAGATGAGAAAACCGAGGCACTAAAAAGTCAAAGGGCTTCCTCAGGACCCTGCAGTTAGAAGTGGAAGCACTAGGACTGTAACCCCAGCAATATGGGTCTTGGGGCCTGTGTTTACACACACCATGCCAGGCTATCTTCTCAGGTTTACAGAGAATCCTGGTGGGCTCATATGAGATGACTTGTATCAGACATAGATGCATCCATCTAGAAGTTCCTGATATTTTCTTCTGTTCTCTGCCCTTTATCTTGATATGTTAGGTATGTTAACATCTATACTAGCAGATTTCCTAATGATACCATCATCATGCCATTCTTAGAAAAATACTCTCTAAATCATTTATATTTTTATATATTTATATTTCTGAACATAAATTTTTTTAAAATTGAGATATCTATGTATGTATCTATGTATGTATGTATGTATGTATGTATGTATGTATGTATGTATCTATCTATCTATCTGTCTATCTTTGCTGTTGGCTTGCTGCCCTGTTTATATATTAGTAATGCAATAATCAGTTTTTGGTATTAGGATTATGTTAATATTATAAAATAAATTATGAAACTTTTTCTTGTTTATGATGTGGTTTGCATTCAATGTTTCCCCTTCTCTTGGTTTGTCTTCCTGACACTACTACCCAAAACATTTTGAGGTGCAATACTTTCTCTTCAAAATTATTTATATCTTGCTCCACTGTCTTAGGTATTAGTAGTATGAATAAATATTAGACTGTTTAATTTCAGTTATTTATAGGGATCTTGATCCTTTTTTCTTTATTTTCTTTAATTATATTTCAAATACTTGGAGATCCTGTTTGATATGTAAACTCAGATATTTTTTGGACCGTAGGTGAGTACTTTCTTCCTTCTCCTCATCCTCCTTTCCTTCCTTTTCCTTCTTCTTGGCTTCTGCTATGACTACCATACTATCTGAGTTTGAAATTCCAAATGGAAGCATATCACTTTTCCCTAATCTCTTCTAAAATTCCTATTTATATGTTTAGCTCATCATTTTAATCTAATCTGTTGTGTTAGTTTTGTATTGCTGTAAGGGAATACCTGAGAGTGAGTAATTTATAAAGAAAAGAGGTTTATTTGGCTTACAGTTCTGCAGGCTGTAAAAGCATGGCCACAGCATCTGCTCAGCTTCTGGTGAGGCCTCAGGGAGCTTTCCCTCATGGCAGAGGTGAAGCGGGAGCAGGCATGTCACATGGTGAGAACAGCAAGAGAGAGAGGAGCAGGTGCCAGGCACTTTAAACAACCAGCTCTTGCCTGAACTAACAATTCACTCGTTCCCATGGGGAGGGCACCAAGCCATCCATAAGGGATTCACCTCCATGAACCAAACACCTCCCACCAGACCCCACCTCCAACATTGGGGATCACATTTCAACATGAGATTTGGAGGGGATAAATATCCAATTCATATCATCCACCTTTGAGATATTGGAAAACTTCTTGAAGTTGTCTTCTCTGTAATATATTTTATTTTCTACATTGAACAGTCTAACTCACAATTTTGGCCTTTAATTTAGAAAATGAATTTTAATCTCAATAGTGATGTCACTTCTAATTTCTTATTGTTTCCTTTTTGTGCCTTTTAATGTAGTTTCACCAATGCAATATACTCATTTCTTTCAGAAAATATAAACAAGAAATTTCCCAGATTTTTCCTATTTCTGGCAGTAAATCTATTTCACAAAAAGACGTTTTTTTGGTATCTTCAGAGTGGCCCCCTTTTATCTGCAATATTTCTTCACAGATTTAATGTCTTTCCTCTGTGCATGTTTACAGAGGATGTTCAATGATGCTCTGTTTTATAAAAAGTGATTGCCAGAGGTTGTTGTAAGACTTTGGGGCAGATACTAAACCCTGTTCACTTATAACTTGGTTTTGTAACAAAGACAGAGGCCCATGCAAGGTTTGAGGATTGATTTGGGACCATCACACAAAGCCAGGACCTCCAGAGATGACAACTGTGGTCAATAAATTAGTAAGACCGCAATCTGCAAAGGGACAATGTGGGCATATTTGACTTTCTTGGCCATGTCTTTGGGTAGAGCAGTAAAAATGGGCAAAGTCTTCATTCATAATTTCTAAACACAGCCCTCCTTCAAGCAGATTTGGAATCACAATTCAAATGTACCTGTAGCTCAAAAGGCCTCAAGCCAAAAATTCTCTCTATAGTGGTTCCTGATTGGTAGTGTCCTCAAGTACTTAGGGGAGAAAAACAAAAGTTCCAACTGAAGAAAAGAGCGCTAACACCAATCTACAAAAACAGACTTTAATGTTAAAAAAAAAAGTTTAGCATTTTAAAAATTATAAAATAATTGAGCAAACAGGACTACACTACTGACACTCAACAGAAAAATCAAACTACTGTACGATGCCCAGAAACACTGCATATGCAGGAATAATCAGGTATGATAATATAAAATAACCATGGTTATATGTTTTTCAGAAATGGTTTTGAGATGAATGAGTTTACAAGTAGATTCAATCTAGTTGAAGAAAGAATTATTAATATGGAACAAAAATATGAAAAAAATCAGAATTTACTACAGTGAAACAAAGAAATAGAAAATAAGAAAGTAAGGTTAAGAGATGTGGAGGACAAAGGGAAAATAGAAAACATAACATACGTTGAATATTATCTTTGATTTCCTTGACAGAGGTAAGGGAGAGGCAATATTCAAAAAGATCATGGATGACATTTTTCTAGAATTATTGAAAAATACTAATTATCTTGTCAATAAATTCTAAATAAAAGAAATGAAAATAAATTTAAATCTACTTCAGAAAATCCAAGATAAGGAGAAGATCTTACAAACTGCTAACCTAAATTCCACCATTCATTTGTAGGCATATATAACTTTTAAAACATTTTTTCCAGGTAGCAATAATTTCTTAAAGTATTCTTTAAAATTTCTGAAATATGTGGATATTTTCTTGATGAGATTATAGAGCCCCGTCTCCTGGAAATGTTTACATTTTCCTGGCAAACTATGGCAATAAAGTCTGAAAGTGTGTGTGGAGGGGAGTGGGGTCTGAGGATCATCACCTCTGCTTTCATTGCCAAATCTTTGGCATAAATTGTGTGACTGCCTGCTTTGTACCTTGACTTTATTCAACTTTATTTAAATCATGCGCATTTTTCATATTCTAAATGGTTGTTATAATTATCATTTTAATAGCTTCCTTATATTACATCAAATTTATTCCATTACAATTTCCTCAGTCATTCCTCGCCTATTAGACACTTATGGTTTTATTTCCCTCAAATTTGGATTATTATATATAATACTGTCATAATATACATTTTTATGCCTATAGCTTCCCTTTTATTTTGGTTCAGTTTATTAGGAAGGGTTCCCTGAAGTGACGTTACCATGTCAAATGTTATGGAGCCACTGCCCTGAAGGTCTCGATTAATTTACACTTCCACCAGGTATTTTGATATGTGCCAGTTTCAGCATGAGGGTCAGCACTGAGTATTATAAGTTTAAAATAAAGGCCGGGTGCGGTGGCTCATTCCTGTAATCTCAGCACTTTGGGAGGCTGAGGCAGGCAGATCACCTGAGGTCAGGAGTTTGAGACCAGCCTGGCCAAGGTGGTGAAACCCTGTCTCTACTCAAAATACAAAAATTAGCTGGGTGTGGTGGCAGGTATCTGTAATCACAGCTACTCGGGAGGCTGAGGCAGGAGAATTGCTTGAACCCAGGAGGCAGAGGTTGCAGTGAGCTGAGATCGTGCCACTGCACTCCAGCCTGGGTGACAAGAGTGAAACTCTGACACACACACACACACACACACACACAAACACGCTGTGTGTGTGTGTGTGTATATATATATATAGCAAACTTATATAGTAAGAATAGTACATATATATTACATATATGTAATAGTCTATCAATTTGCAGAGTGTAGAAGGCATTTTTATTTAAATGAAATGGAACATTTTCCCACATTTCCTTATTTTTTTCTCTTTTGCTCACCAATTATCAGTACTTATGCTATTTAGACATCTTTTTTGGACCTGATGTTTGTCTTACAGATATCTAACAGATACTCTTCTTTTGTGGTGAGTTATCAAGAAAAGTTGTTTAAATCAGAGAGGGTTGTACTGGTTAGCTTTGCTTACTAATACTGTGCAGACATAGGGACCTATATTTTC
This sequence comes from Homo sapiens, assembly GCF_000001405.40. NCBI lineage: Eukaryota > Metazoa > Chordata > Mammalia > Primates > Hominidae > Homo > Homo sapiens. Next base: position 86,670,984 of record NC_000015.10, read on the forward strand.
TAGCAGCATTGGCATCAGAATACTAGTGTGATAGACACTGTTGGCTTGCCTGACACTCATTTCTAACCCTCTTCTCTCTTACCTGTCTCTTTTAAGGAGGGTGAACAGGCTGAAACATTGAGTGACCAGCGCATAGTAAAGCTGGAGGTGGTTTTATTATAAAGCCTGGCCAATAAAATATAAGCAAGAGTGTGCTGGTGCCGTTGTGCCACATTTTCTCTTTCTTTTTCCTCAGATGATGATGTGGTTGCTGGAGCCATAGCAACCACCTTGCAATCAGATTTAAACAAACAAACAAACAAACAGGAGAATGGCAGATAGTGTGGCCTTTATTTTATTACATTGCTGAAATAATGCCATGAACCTTCTACCTTTTCCTCAAATTTATTTTTGTGCAAAATAAAACCTCGTTTAAGTCACTATAATCAGACTTTGTGTTACTGTCTGTGGAAAAAATTTCTAATTAAGACATCTGAGCTGGGTGAGAAGGGAATTGGATCTTCATTTTATTTATACTCACTTTTAAACAAATCCGGAGCCAGTTTTATTCATAAACTTTCTACTGTGAACCCGTGATAACTGACCAAAGTGGAGGTCAAAATTTCTAAATTTTATTTACCTGTTTCCCAGTTTATATCCAGAGATATGAATAAGTCTCCTGGAGCCAAAATAAAATCTGTTTTATTTTTAATGCTCACAACATTTGACAATGGGAGAACAAGATTTAAAGGCACTCACATACCCAAACCCAGAGAAGTCAAGTTCTACTTGACAGTTACAATATGTATCTGAGAGATAAAAATCCATCCATGCCTCTCCACGTCCACTCATTTAGAGTCGCTATTTACCCATTTATCACATACTGAGGATATGACATTTGACAGGTATGTGCTCCATGCCAGAGATGTAAAGGAAGAAACATACTCCTCAGTCTTTGCCTTTGAAAAATTCTCTTCCACACCAGTGATGGGGTGTGAGAGGAGGTCATCTACATAAACAAATATATTTAGCCCAGGAGTTCAAGGCTGCAGTGGGCTGTGATAGCGCCACTGTACTCCAGCTTGGGTGACAGAGCAAGACCCTTTTTCTAAAACAAAACAAAAACAACTCTCAAATATGTTTTATACTGTGTGAGAGTAAAGAGAAAAAAACAGAGTAGTAAAGAGAGATTAATATCAAAGGGCAAAATGGAATATAAGGGCCTTGCCCAAGTCTCCACAGCCAATGAAGTGGTACAAGTTCCTTTAATCAAGGTCTTCTGGACTACTTGTTACAATGACAACTATGACCTGAAATATGTGGACCAACATCTGGGGCATCAAATTTTTTTTACATTATAAAATACTATCATTTTAGCTGTTATTGTATAGAAGTTGACTGGTATGAAGGAACTCTCCCTAACCTACCAGTATGGCATATACTGTGAGGTTTATTTTCCTGAATGACTCCTTCTTTTAACCTCTACAGAGCACCTGTTATGTGTCTGCTGGAGGCTGGGGTTGCAAATGTGTATGCGAGTGCTCCTGCCCCCGAGGGCCAGAGTCTTACTCTCATTCCCCTTCTCGCCTCCCCTTTGCCACCTGTGAGGTGGCTGACTGAGCAGGCAGGTGTGACCTTCACTTCCAATCAAGCCAGCCATTCTAGAATTGTATAAAAGTAACCTGGAAAAGGGGTTGGGGAAAGAATCAGACCTCGGAGCTTTAGAAAAGAGACTCAGATTTCTCTTTCTTTAGAAAGTGATCTTTTCTATTGACTTAAGAAAAAAACAACTTGTTCAACATCTGTCTTTCCCTTCTGACTGCTGTTGCTTAAGGAGGAACTGACTTCCCTTAACTCTGAAGTAATGTCTCCTTTCTTTAGGAAAACAGGTGTCAAAACATGCAGCAAATCAGATTTTCAAACAGCTGAAATAAACTTGAGGATTTTCTACCTTTTTAATGCTTTTAGCCAGGAATTCTTTTGTGAGGCTTATGATTTCCCAGTTTGGAATTTTGTTTCTCCTTGAGGTGCTTATGAGCAATCCTTCTGCATTCTTATTGTCCCATTCCTGTCCTCCATAATAAATCATTATTATTTGGATGTGAAAATCTATTCATAAAAAATGATTCATTATTATTTTTTATTTAGGTCAAATGTACTTTATAAACAGGAAGGCCTCAGGACCACACTGAATTCCGTTGTATTAAACGTCTTTATAGGAAGAGAGAAAGATAAATTGAGCTAATTTTGATCAATATTATGACTGTGAAATATTCCTTATCACCAGATGCTTAGGTATGAAGGGGAGAATTATGATTCCATTTTACAGATGAGAAAATCAAGGCAAAAAGAGTTCGCTGAGCCCAAGACCACACATTTAGAAACTAGTGAAACCAGATTCACACTTAATTCTGATCTAACTTCAAAAACCACGCACTTTCTAGCTCACCACAATGGAGTCTCTTCTAGTCGCTATACAGCTTTTTATGTTGAGTAGTCAAGACTGAATTTACTTATTAGCCTCTGGTACTTACTAGATGCTAGGCCTTGGATAAGTTACTTGTATTCATAAGTCTGCATCTCCTTATCTGTAGAATGGAGAAAAGAACAATCTCTACCTCACAGGGCTTTGGTAAGGATCCGCTGAGTTAATGCAAATCAAAGAGCTTAGAAGGGTATTTGGCATGCAGTAAGTGATCAATTAAGTTTGGTCAATTGTTATTATTATCTGTTTCTTCATGAATTATACTATAGAGTACATGTCATGATTTTGCTTTCATGCATATATGAGTACAGCTGAATAGGGGGTTCTAAATGAATACTGGTTTTTTAAAGTTTCAGTGTTCAGTATTTATATATGAAATATTTCCCCTACTTTTCTCCATTGGCCGATAAATTCAGAGGAAGGAAAAGTTATCTCTTAGTAAGATTCTTTATGAACTTCTGTTTCAGAAGTGAAAAAAAACCCTTTTTAAAAATACAGATAAAAGCGTTGCTGCTTTGACCATGGTGTGGGAAGGGTACAGATTCCTGGATCTCCATATATCCCCCTTTCCCTTTATAACCCCTACCAGCTCATTATTGTCATGGGGGTACTTCTGGGGAGCCCTGGATGTCGACATCACACAGACTGAGAACCACCACTCCACAATGCACACAACAGAATGTAATGGACAGTGACTGACAAATACAATTAATTCTCACTGTCTGAAAAATGCCTGTGTGTAGAAGTCCTTCTTCCTAATTTCAAAGTGTCACCACTCAGCTCCCATTATACGTTGCCACAGTTAATGCTTTGTTTAACTGGCAGGGTCTACAGTTTGGTACCAGAGAACTGGAGGAGATGGGAGCCATGTTCTGTTTGGGCCTCCTCATCCTGGAGCTCAAATCTGCCAGCTGCAGCCATCAGCTCCTGGCTCAAGCTGCAACTCTGCTGAGTGCTGAGGAGGACGCTCTGGACCAGCACCTCCAACGGTAAGATGCTCCCAAGGGCTCAGAGAAATTTGGACCTTGGTGGTTCCATTGCTCAATATCTCAGTAATGAAAGTCGAGTGGACCTAGGGGTCTTTACACAGAGAAAATATGGAAGAATTCCCAAGTAAAGGTAGGTACACTATCTCGTTTCCTACTGATGAAAAAGAGGATGCTGCCTGTTTGTACACATATATGCAAATATAAAACTATATGTATTTATACATATTTCTAGGTAACACATTTATGATAAGATGTGGCTTGGTGACACACACACAGGATATCTACATACACTTATATTTACCAGTTATGTGTTTATATGTATACAGATAACATTTTTGAGCCATTACTCAACAAAAAACAATGGCAATCTCATTGACAATATCTAGGCACCTGGAGACAAGAAATGTTTTACTCTTCCCATTCTCAAACATCATTGTTCCTTCTTGGAAGATGAAGGGAACCACCTGAAGATGATTAATACTTTGGCTCAGAGAACCGGACTCCCAGCCATAGGAGGGAAAGGCTAGATTTCTGAGAATCGTGGAGATTATTAATGAGCCAAGTGAGGGAGAACCATTATCCAAATGAGCCGTTTTGATGTTCTTTCCTGTTGAGAAATATTTTAGACTTGACCAAAACAAATTCAGTGGGCAAGAGGGGAAGAAATAATGGGCATGTGAGAGGAGAGAGGATGGAGGGGAGTCCAAGAAGCCAAAAGCGGCTAAGTCATTGCCCACACTTTGAGTGTCAGAATGGATGGAGAAATTGAGTTGTTGGGGAAGTGTCTCCTGGTAAATGAGGAGGCATCTGGTCGTGCACTTCACGTCCAAAGGCAGAGAGAAAGCCATTCATCCTGGGGCCATCTTATTTTGAGCTAATTTTCTTGAATTTTCCTCCTGTTCCTGTTAGGTGGCTGTTGCAGTGTGACATACTGAATGGCCAGTGAAACCTAGAAAGATCTAGCAGTATGCCTTAATACTGCTTTGGAAGGCCGTGGTTTTTCTGAGACTTGATTACCTAAATGCAGTAATTAACTTGCTCACCACACTGGGCTATAGATCATAGACTATAGAAACTTAAGTAAGTGCAGGGCTCTTTCCATAGAGCTGCCGTTGCTGATTTATTTTGACATCACAACCACTTCTGCCTGCCCCTGGTCCCTTCAACACCCCTCAGTGTCTGAAGGCTTCGTGTGTTTGGTATCTTTGTGGTGTTTTCAGACTCTCCCTCTGACAGCAAGCGCTTCCACCTGCCAGCATATATATTTCAACTTGTCTTTTCATCTTTTCCTTTACTAAGCTATCTTGGGTGTAGGCATGCCTGGATTTTCTTTCCTTCTTTCTCTTTTTCCCCCTCTCTCCTCTGCTGCTCATTGAGGGAAGATTGAGCAGAACTGGCATTGCTTGCTTTCGTCAAATTGATTGTGCCCGTCTGTTTGATCCAATTCAGTGAGGATTAGTTGCCTGCAAACTGGAACAAAAAGAAATCTATCAAAGAAATGCCTTTTCTAATTCAAGTTTAAAGAATTTGATGTCAGGCTTCAAATACAATGGCTGCTATATAGGTTATTATAAGGAGATAGTATTATTTGCCTCCACCCTTCCACACCATTTCACACAATTATTCATTTTTCAATTGCATCCTGACCAAGGGGATTGAAGCTAGAGGTCCTCCCATGACCTCTGACCTTTCCTAGGCTGGTGCAGCTCCCAGTCTAGGAAAGATACCTGAACACAGGATGTGATTAATATGTCTACTTTGAATATATTTGAATTAAGTTTGGCAGGCATGGAGTTTGGTGTAGATCAGCAGGAGGGAAACTACCTATTTCACCCAGACATTTGTATGGTAATATATTTTCCTATTCGTTATGATGCAGTTGACCACACGGATTGCGATTCTTGCCCAAAGGACCTGAAAACTGCATGGTTGAGAGGGAGATCACCGTGAGCATTTCTTGACCCCAAAAATGTTCCAGCCAATAAGCTTATGGTCACAAAAAGATGACAGAGAGAAAAATTTATAAAATCTACTGGTTTGAAACCATCAACAGGCTTTTTGAGAACCATTTGATTAGTTTCTGAAGAATAAAGTTAAATCCTGAGATATAATAATCAGCAGAGTGAATCCTAGAACTTTTGTTAGTATCAGGATTCTTATTGTAATACAAAGAGTGTAACCAATGTTTGTCAACACAAATCTATGTATGTTTTAAAGAGGAGACCTCTACCACCCTCCTCTCCTCCTGCCTCTTTCTTTGACATAACAGGGTTTCCAGCATCCTACAAGAAGATTTGTATTGTTGTTGCGTGGAAGGAATTGTGAATAACATTGTGGGTGAGGGGGCTCTTCTCCAAAGGTCTGCCCTAAAGAACTACAAGAATGGCTGGGTGCGGTGGCTCATGCCTGTAATCTCAGCACTTTGGGAGGCTGAGGCGGGTGGATCACGAGGTCAGGAGTTCAAGACCAGCCTGACCAACATGGTAAAACCCCGTCTTGAACCTGGGAGGCGGAGGTTGCAGTGAGCCAAGATCATGGCACTGCACTCCAGCCTGGGCGACAGAGGGAGACTCTGTCTCAAACAAACAACAACAAAAAAAATGCAAGGATGTGGTACTGCATCCTCTCCTAGGCCCACAGACAGCATTAACTCCTTGGGAGTGATCAGCCAGGAAGACAAAGTGTGGCTGCACACTGTGGACATCATGTTTTCTGACAATAGGTTTCATGCTTCATTTACCATAAAAACAATTAGAGTGTACTCAATATCCACAGAGCAACTCAACATTTTTCAAGAGCAGAGGAAGAGCAGAGATAGCGGATGTTTGCCTGGTGGCTGACGCTGAAAATGAAGTACATGCATGCTTTGTTTTTGGTTTCCTTTTGCAGTCCTCTTCTTCCCAGTTGCTCATTTCAGAAATGTCTGCATACTCACGAAAGCATCTTTTGATCTTTCCTCTCCTCTTCCTTTCTCCTTCCTCTCAATCTTATCCCTGGAAATAATTGTGTGTGCACTGCAGGAATGCTAAGCTGCTTCTTCAGGAGGAGCCGTTTATCCATTGTGACAGGTCTTTTGCAAAGTCACTTAAGTTTTGCCGAGTCAGCCACTGTTCGTCTCGATTTGTATCCCTCCACTGCCTCTTGCTCTTCTCAGCCGAGCCCCCCACCTCCATTTGTCCCTCACTTAATAACAAGAGAAAGCTAAAGCTCAGAGCTTCAGAGCTGTGCCTCAGCAATGGCTCAACACCTCCCGTGTTCTCCGAAATTATAGTCCTGTTGCTTTAGCCTGGGCTCACCTTAGTATCTACATAAACTAGGTTTGTTTGACGGACAACACTAAAAGAATAAAAATTCTACATAGATATTAGAAAAAAAAGTTTAATAATTAAAAAGGTGCTTGATTTTCATTTGTAAAAGTATAATTTTGTTCTTTTGAATGAGAAAATGAAATTAGGAAGACAGACAAAAGCGCCCCTATCCCTGTCTCAGCATCCAGATAACTACTGTCAGCATTATGGCGAAATATCCTAAATTATTTTTCTGTTTTTAACTTAATTTATTGTTTTAAATTGACAGATAAAATTGTATGTGTTTATTGTGTACCATATGATGCCTTGCAGCCCATATACATTGTGGAATGGCTAAGTCTAGTAATTAACCTATGTATCACCCCACAAAGTTATTTTTGTGGTGGGAACATTTAACATCCACTCTTCTATCATTTCTCAAGAATGTTATATATTGTCATTAACTATATTCACCATGCTGGCAATAAATTATTTGAACTTATTCCTAGGTTATATTTTTTACCTATGGATAAATAGACATACAGTACTCTCAAAAACAATGTGCTATAAGTTCTCCTTTTTTGCAGCTTTATAAACACTTGTTCCTATTTTAAAACTTTTGCCATTTTTAGGAGAAAATGGGGTGCTGTTTTAATTTAGAATTTGATGTTTTCTGATGCAGATAAAAATCCTTCTATATCATGAGGAGTATTTTTTATAAATTTCCTAATCACGTCTTTGTGCATTATTCTGTTAACCATCCCTTTTTTTAAAAAAGTTATATTTACATTTAATTTTAATTTCTGTGTTAAAGGTACTCAACTTCTGTTTGTCTTGTATGCTGCAAATATTTTCCCCAAATTGTCATTTACCTTTCACATTTTCTATATGGTTTATTGACATTGAATATTTTTGCTTTCAAGTAATTATGTTTATCAATTCTTTTCTTTGCTTCTCTTACCTTGGATAAACCTGTCTACCTCGGTTTAATAACAGATAAATTCACACCCACTGTTTATCTATCTGTTATTGAACTGAGGTAGGCAGGTAGTTTTATAGTGAGTATATTTACATATTATAATTTATTTTCCATTTTTACTATTGAATCATTTTGTATTTTTAAGTAATCCACCTTTTATCACGGATTAGTAATGCCGGTTTATTATATAGTATATACACATGCATATAACTGGGTATATTTTTTGGATTTGTATTCTGTTCCATTAGTCTGCCTGCCAAGAGCACGTAGCTTTTAATACTGTAGCTTTGTAATCTAAATGTATGATGTTGCAAACACCACCTCATTAGTATTTGTTTAAAAATGTGTTTTGCTGCATTCTCTTCTTTATTTTCACTGATGCACTCTATAATGAGTTGTTAGCTGCCAAAACCTAACCCACTGGGATTTTAACTCAGGTAATATTAAATTATAGATATTTTTGGTCTATTGAGTGCTCGTCTATGTTACTTTTATAAAATCTGATATTTTTATTTACTGATTCAGATCTGCTTTGATGTTCATCAGTAAAGTATTGTAGGGATTCTGTTCGTATCCTTTTTATGTAGTTCCTGAATATATCATCATAAACTTTTAATCTCAATATTTAAAAAAGTTTTGTTCATCTAAAAAATGTGTATTTTTCACTACATTGCTTCTAAGTGCTTGTTTTAGTTATATAGGAAATTTCTGGGTTATTTATATATTTATTTGTAACTTCAGTGAACTCTCTAGTTATACCTAAAAGTATTTCCAGGGATTTTTCTGTTTTTCTGGATAGAAAACAGTATCATTTATAATTTTTGACCATCAGCTTTGCTTACTTCTTTTTCTTATCTTATGATCTGGGCTAGAGTTTTGAGACTAATGTTTAAGGCTGAGGCATTTATGAGCATCCTCACCATAAACCTAACTTCAAAATGAGAATGACTCTAAGCATTTAAGAATTAAGTGAAATGGCTCTTGGTTTGATATTAATATTTGATATCTTCTCCATTATTACTATATTTTCTTAGCTTATTAATTTAACAAAGTCCAGATTAGATGATTAATTTTATCAAAAGATTCTTTAGTATCTAGAAAAATAACTATTTACTTGAATTAATAAAATCTTATAGATTTTCTAATATTCAGCTATCTTTACATTTCTAAGGAAAATGTATCTGGCTGTGATCTGAAATATTATTTTAATGTAGAGATTGATATTACCTACTGTGAATTGAGGAGTTTTGTGCCTATATTTGTGAGTGAGTGAAGTCTGTGCTTGGTTTCTATTGTTCTATGACCTGGAACACTTTAAATTTCCTAGGTAGGATACATCTGCACCTTGAACATGTACATACTGCCTGTAAAATCATCTGTGTTCTATTTATTTGAAACAAAAATATTATTTTTCCAATGTTAATTTTCCCAAATAAGAATTATCTATGGCATTTAAATTGTCTTATAATCATATTCAGATCATTTTAAAATTCAACTTTGTGTTTAATGACTTGCATTGCTCATCTCTACCCATTGTATGCAATCATGTCCTCATTCTTTTTTCTCAATGTTGATTCATCTTACATTTTTCAGAGAGCACCTTAAAAGTAGCTTTTCTTTTTTAAAATGTAAATCAATGGAGTTTTTTGCATATTAATACATATGTGAATATCCTTCTCTTCCCTTTACCTAGGAATTCTACTTTCCCTGCCTAGAGATTTTATGGGTAACACATTAAAACAATGTAGACGTGGCCAAATTTACTCTGGTATGTAATCTTATGGTAGCCAGCCTAATTTTTCTTTCTTTGTATGCACCCTGTTTTTTCTTTTTCTTTTCTTTTTTCTTTCTTTCTTTCTTTTCTTTTTTTTTTTTTTTTTTTTGAGATGGGGGTCTCTCTGTCACCTAGGCTGGAGTGCAGTGGGGCAATCTTGGCTCACTACAACCTCTGCCTCCTGGGTACAAGGGATTATCCTGCCTTAGTCTCTTGAGTAGCTGGGATTACAGGTGCCCACCATCATGCGTGGCTAATTTTTATATTTTTAGTAGAGACAGGTTTTCACCATGTTGGCCAGGTTGGTTTTGAACTCCTGACCTCAAGTGATCCACCCACCTCAGCCTCCCAAAGTGCTGGGATTACAGGCGTGAGCCACTGCACCTGGCCGCACCCTGTCTTTTCTACCTTCATAGTTGTAGTAGTTTCTCTGTGTTCCCTAAAACAAAAATTATTTCTCTACTACATCAAAAATATTTCTTTCTTTCCTCACTTCTTTCTTTTCTCTTGTGTGTGTGGTTTAGTTCCTTTAATTGATTTTGAATATGAACATTCTATTCTCTTGAAACATGTCTCAATTATAAAGGATCAGTGATGCCACCCCACGTCTTCATTTATCTTCCTCTGAAGTGTTTGTTATCTGTTTTCTCACCTCTGTATCTGTTATCTCTTCTTCTTTAATCCTTTTTACCTCCTTGCCCCAATTCATCAAATTCTGGAAGTATGTCTCAAGTTTGCCCTCACACATTCAATTTTCTGCAGCATGGACTCTCTGCTCTTTGCTGATAACATATTTTAATTTTGGTGACTTTACATTTAGGTTTCATTGCACCTATTCCTCATCTTTCATGAGTTTCCTTTTATTCATGTTTGTACTATTGCCAGCTCACTTTCCATTTGGATCAGTTATCTTTTCATTTATCGTCCCATAGATTCCTTTTTGAAAAACAACTTTCCAGATACCTTTATACAGCCTCCTGTGTCCTGTGGCTAGTCATTCCCCTGAAGTGCACCACTGCCAAGCTTCTGGAAAGGCATTGGCCTCCTTGTACTTTTGCAGGATGTTTCACCACCTCTAGGTTGTGCTTCTTACCTGTTTCTGCTCTTCCAACTTCTTTTCCTCATTTTCTTTTGGTCTATTCATTTTGAATCATGAGAGCTCTATCATGACTTACAATTAGTCAATAATCAAGAGTTTATATGTTCTTTAAGCCCTTTTATGGTCTAGCTGGATGTAGAGAGGTCCTCTTGTTTTAATAGAAAGTAACGTGATTTAGGTGGTGCTTTCTCTTCAAGAATTCATGGTATTTTGGCTTTTACCTGAGAGTACAAAGTTGGGTGATTGTGTTGGAGAGGTTAAGGAGAGCAGGCATGGAGAAGTGAATGAAGATGGAAAGTGCCCTACTAATGTCTATGGGCCAAAATGGGAAATTTGGGATTGGAGACAATGGTTTCCATAAAGATCCCATTACAGTAAAGCGAAGGATGGAGTCTTAGTAGAATCTTCAGTTTCAAGTTAACTTTCTGTTTCCATCAATTCCAAATTAATGCTACGTGACTATTCTGGTAATAGCTCTCTTTAATTATCTGCTGTTGTCTTAATTCTATTCAGATTTTAAAAATTAGCGCATAGTATGAAATATCTGAGACTATTCTTAGCTTCTTTCTATAGTTGCAGGCAAATAAATGCTACATGTTGGGAAATGTTGGAATGGAACTCCGCCTGGGAATTATTATAGATTATGAGTACCATATCCTGCTTTAAAACATTAAATGGCTCCCTAACTGGTCAAGGGAAATGAACTGATTGGCCAGAAGAAGTGCTAATTTTAGGCTGGGAAAACAATAGCAAAAAACAAACAAACAAAAACCTTGTTTCATTAGCTGTTAAAAGCAAAATCAAATATTTTTGGTATGATTTTATGCTGATTCTTCTATAATAGATAAATTAAAATAGTGAAAACCCAGTGTTCACATTTCTGTGAAGAAAGAGGTTTAATAATATCATGAAGCTATTGGTAAATTGATTTACTTTTCTCTGGAGAGCAATTTGGCAGTTTGTAAAAAGGCCCATAAAAATCTCTCATTTGATCCTCTGTTTACAGCTTACAGAATATTACTCAAGACAATAAACATAACAGAAAAGAATATTTATTATGCACATATTTATATAAATAGTACTTATTTCTCCACAAAATTTTAAACAACTCAAATTCTTAGCAGTAAAAAAAGAACATTATTGATTAATTTTCTGAATTACTATACTACCATGAAAATAATAAGTATGTCAATTTATATATAAGATAATAATAAAGCAAACATTTATTAGGGCCTTACCATGAACTAGATGCTGTGCTAAGCATTTTATAAATATTATCTCTCTTAATCCTATAAATAATCCCATGTAGTAGATGCTTCCATTAACATTCCCTTTTTACCAACAAGGAAATTAAGTTTTATAGAGGCTAATAAGTTTGCCAAATGTCATGACTATATTTAAGGGACTGCACTGGCATTTGAATCTACTTTTGCCTAACTCCATGGCTCAAGTTCTTATCCTTTGTTATATTTAGCCTTTTGAATAATAGATGAAAAGCAAAGCAGAGTAATTAATGGTGTACACATGCTGATTACGAGTTCAGCAACACAAAAAACTGACAGATGGGGGGGCATTAAATGTATAATCTAAATTTAATTTAGTTTTATTAATTTCTCTTTATAGTTCCTTAACGTATGTATTGGGTACATGTATATCTGTGTGTGTTTCTGGGTAAGTTTTAAAACTCAAACGACTTGGGTTCATTTTGGACCATAAATATCCCTTGATTGTTTTAATACTATTCAGGGAAGATTAATGTATACCATTATAGGTTGAATGTGTTGTAACCCATGGTGAATTGAAAAGAGAAAAAGATTGCACATGCCAAGGAGTGAAAGTACATTTTCTTCATACTGCATTTGCTGCTTCCAAAATGTTACCACCTAATAACAACCATGAAAGTTAACCTAAAATAATGCCTATTTTACAAGTGACTCCATGGGAGTCCAGGGAATCTAAGTGACTTGCTAGGTGTAGTTAAGTGATTTACACATTGCCAGTCAACATGGGGGATCTCATTCACCTCTGCCTCAGGCTCAACCAAATGAACGGCAGGTCTCTTGCCTATGAAACTATAAATACCTGAAAATAGAATAGGCTACCAGCCCCTGGAAAAGGATTTCAATCAAGAAACTCACTCTTACTACTCTCTATAGCAACTGCAGCCCTTCCCAGCCCTTGTCTTTTGTTGTCAATTCTAAAAATGGAAGGCAAATAAAACTTTTGAAGTTTTCCCAAACAGGAGCAGTTGTTGTCATTTAAGAAGGCTTCAAATAGCCTGGCATGGGTGGTCTAAGTTAACTCAATAACTTTTCATTAATTTTACATCATTACCGCTTTCTCTTCTTTCTATCTAATTCTTATTTCTTTTTATTAAGTACCCTGTGACACCTATGGCTCTTACCGAAGAGCTAGTCCTTTAGGTCAAAGCCATTTTACTGGTGAGAGCAAATCTACCAGATGTGCTAGAGGAAAACAAAAGTGTAAATACAATAGTGAAGGCAAAGGAGAGAAGGGATGGAGGGAAGGAAAGAGGGAGGGAGGCTAATGAACAGGAGAAGAAATCAAGGCATTTGAACTAACAGATCGTTATGGGGATAAAAAGCATCTTAGAATGTTTACATTTTTTGGTTTGAAAGATCATGAGCTTAGATTACTGATTTAGAAGAAAGATGGTGCCTTTTAAAGTTTCTGTGAACATTTCCACATTTTTACCTGATTTCTTTATCTTTGCCAATTGCCAAGTTGCCCCCTCTCAGGAAGGAAGGAAGTAAAGAACCCTGGCTACATTCTACTGTACCCAAGATGAAATAGTCTATCATGGCTTTTGCTGTCCTGTAAATTTCCATGAAGTCCTCACTTTAGTTAGTACCTAGCATAGTTCTCTCTTTTTTTTTTTCTTTTTTCTCTTCTATTTCTTTTTGTTTTTGAGACAGGATCTCACTATGTTGCCCAGGCTGGTCTCAAACTCCTGGGCTCAAGCAGTCCTCTTGCCTTGGCCTCCCAAAGTGCTGGGATTACAGATGTGAGCCACCACACCTGACCCGTAGCATAGTTTAGATCACAGACATAAGGCTTAAATTCAAGGAAGTTCAATTCTGATTCAAAGTATTTCTGGGATGACAAGCTCTGTGAATCTATGGCGTTGTCTTAACTTGTTTACTCTCAGATTTTTTGGCTTTAACATTAGGGAATCTCCTTTCGGATCTAATATCCTGCATTTACTCTCAAAGGTACAGCTACTGACACCCTCACATTCTAACATCAGTAGTAGAGTTGCAACCCTGAATTCAAGATACAAAAGGCAAAGCAGTTGAATTATGCTAAGTGGCAAACAGCTTGTATTTGACTGAATAAAAATTAAATTTTATTTTTATGTTGACTGGATAGATGATAAAGAAACAGAAGCCTTACTAGTGCATGGGTAACAGAAAGGAGTTGTAAACAAGCAATGAGAAAAAGATGGGAACAAAGAGGTATGTTTAGAAGTAGATATCAAGATGTGTGGAAAATATCAAACCAACATCTAGCATCCAAAGTAGAATCCGATACAAGACGACCCTTTACAAGGGGCTTAAATGTTCTTACCAGGAATGTCAATAGGTACTATTTTCTGTTTCTGGACATGGACACCTCAGGAGAAAGAAGTGATTACCTCTGCTTGGTCCTTTTAGTTTCTTTAGACAGATTTGTCCAATTCAGACCTCAAGTATGTTCTAGTAAGCCAGAAAAATATCTTCGGTCATGTGATAGCTCATCATAGACTTACTGATTCTATTTGTGGTGAGAGATGAGCCTATTGGAAAACGAAGATAACTTAGCATAAGCCAATATTGTTTCAGTACAATAGGAATGGAAACTAAATTAGAGTCAATAAGTTTATGATGACTTAGCATTCATCATTTTATTATGTGGCTTTGAATCAGAAAAGCTGACTAGCTCCCTGTGCTTTGCCAGTGAGTAATAAAATAAGTAGAAGGAAGAGACGATAATGATATAGAATACCATGTGCCTGGAAGTGTGATAAAGATTTGATAGGCATTATCTTAAAGCAAGTTTAGAAAGTCATTATTATTATTACTATTATGATTAATACTATTTTATAGATAAATAAAAGGAGGTTTATGATGCTAAATGTTTGATAAAAGCCAAATCAGTATTATATGACTGATCAGTGATTCAAATGTTGGTCACTGAATCAAAGCTTTTTCTCTTTTATTTCTGAAACATATTGCAAATGATTCTGAAAATATATTCATAAAACAGTTTCCAGGATGAAGTGGAAAAATTAGTCCATAAAATGTGATCTATATAAATCACTGTTCTTTACCGAAGAGCTGACTTCCTGTAATTTCAGTACAAAGATCGTAACATCCTCCACTATAGGGAAATATATGTGAAAGTAAGTCCCAATGATCTAAACTTTTCACCCACTAGATGTTCCAGGTCAGGAAGCAAAACTAGTTAGCCTGCCTTTGTTGTTGTTCTTGATCTTTATGTATTTAATTACTTGTGGTCAACCTAGAAAAAGTGAAAGAAACTTCTCCTCCCCACTCTCAGCAAAGGACATGCAATGATTTTTTAGGTCTACATGATATTGGCTATTGAATGTTTGCTTTTTAAAGGATTGATCTAGTTTTTTTAAAGAAGGCCTGGAGAGTTTGAATTGACTCCATCTCCTATCAGTGAAGTGCTGAGGACCTAGAAGTGATTTGCATTCCAGTCTTAGCTAGTTTTTAACCTCTCACATGTTAGTGTGTGAAGAAATAGACACCAGGGAATTTGGTATCCCCATCAGAAAAATAGGAGTTAATGGCACTACTGATAATAGTAACTGATGTTTATTGACTGCTTAGCATATTCTAAGTTTTTTTTTTTTTTTTTTTGAGATGAAGTCTTGCCCTGTCACTGGAGTGCAATGGCATGATCTCGGCTCACTGCAACCTCTGCCTCCTGGGTTCAAGTGATTCTCCTGCCTCAGCCTCCCGAGTAGCTGAGATTACAGGTGTGTGCTACCACGCCCAGCTAATTTTTTGTATCTTTAGTAGATACAAGGTTTCACCATGTTGGCCAGGCTGGTCTTGAACTCCTAACCTCGTGATCTGCCTGCCTTGGCCTCCCAAAGTGCTGGGATTACAGGCATGAGCCACCATGCCTGGCCTCTAAGTTTTTATTCATATGAATTTTTATCATCTCTCACAACAAATAGTCATGAGATACATAATATAATTATACATATCCCATTGGACAGAGATGAAACTGAGGCACAGAGAGCTTAAATAACTTGCCTAAGCCCACACAGCTAGTTTAAATAACTTGCCTAAGCCCACACAGCTAGTAAGTGATGAAGCTGGGTTTTGAACTCTGGCAGTTAGACTCTAAGACCAGAATGTTTAACCACTACTCCCATTTGAACAGTGGATGTGGTTTTGTAAAATCATTCATCTCTGGTTTCTAACTTATCCTTGCACCGGTCAGGGTTTTGTCAGGAAAACAAGCTGCTCTATGAATTCCAGATATCAATGGCAAAAAAAAGGGAATTAGAGGTTTATTAAGGCATTGAAAAGGCTATATATGGAAACAAAGGCAAGAACTCTGTGGCCAGTTTACCTTCAATAGAAAAGTTGGCCATTTTCAAGAGCACACCTAGAAGCTGCTGTGAGCCTCAAGAACTTCTAAGACACTCTTGTCAGGCACCTCTGTCTGCAAAGTCGGCTGGAGAACTTCTGAAGTAACTGCCCTCACCTGTTTCTGTAGCCAACAACCAAGAAGAAGGTGTCTGGCTGAGGCTTGCCTGAAAGCTAATTAGACCCTCATGTCTGCTGCTTGCCCATCCATCTGACACAAATGCCCCCTACCCAAGAACAATGGCCTCTTCTCTTCTGCTTCCAAATCCAACAAATAGATTGACAGAATCTAACCTGAAACCTTGGAGAATCAGAGTGAAAGGATAGGATGATTATATGGCTGAATACTATGTAATATTTTAATATAGTCATGAGTGATTTCAAAAATCATGGCCTGTGAATAGACAAATCTACAGCTTCAAAGCAGAAGTATGAGTGCCATAAGAGTAAAGCATAGGCTAAGTTAGTTCCACAAGTTGCTATGGAGTAGATTGATGGGAATTCTTAAATCTGCACGTTTTTGTTGAGTTTCCAAAGTGTACATAATGATTACAATAATTTTAATTTATATAATTCTTCACTATGTTCAGGTGTTTCTATTTATAGCCCCTCGATGAGTGTCCTCAGATATACACTGAAATATTGAGAGTGTGAGAGACCCATACACACTGGCAGCCAGGTCAGTACAATCACCTCTCAGCATTTGTAAATCATATCCCAGGCACAGTTCCCCTATATCCAGTAAAATAGTTGTTACTAATTCCATCAGCAACACAGAGATTTTGTCTTCCCCAAGACCCTAACTTTTGTTAGCAGCAGAAATGAGAACAGGGCATGAAATGAGAACAGAGTATGAAACTTCCTTAAAAAGTTGGAATTTATAAAACTAATGCCAGGAGAAACAACAAGCGCATGTCGTTGTTTCATGTATGAATGCAGCTAAAGGGGAAGGCACATTGCTTGGTGCTGCAGGGGATTGATGCTTGAGGAGGGAGGTCCTCTCTGACCCTTGGATGCTGCTTTCTTCACAACATAAAGATGATATTTAGACTGAGAAAGAGGAGGAGGAGAAGGGTGGGGAGGACAAGGGAGGAGAAAGAAGGGAAGGAGGAGACTAGAAGAAACTTGCCAAGAAGGAACAGAGGTCAAGGTGAGAGAGGGAACTCTGAATGAATTCAGGGTTTTCAAACTGTCTGAATTAAAATGCAATTCTGAAATCATATGCAAATTAAGTTATCTAACTCTTTTCCAAGGTATTTGAGGAGGCTTATTTGCAAACTGAAGTTGAGCAAATATTGTTTTACTGTCCAAAACTGAGAAAGTGGTATAGTCTCCCGAATATACGCAAGTGAGTGTGATGCAGATGTCAGGAGGGCATGGGATGGATTATCAAGGGAGGTTTATTAGGTTCTTAGAAAATGAATCAAACATTACTCAAACTACCAAATATTTCCCTATGAAGTGAAATGTTCAAACAAACCTGATTTTATTATAGCTTTAACGAGGCGGGCACAATTGATACATAATAAACTGCACATATTTGAAATACTAATTGGATGATTTTGGCATATCTATATATCTATATATATGCATAAAACTATCACCACAATCACAGTTATTCCCATCATCACACCAAATATCAAGTTCCTTTGTAATTCATTCGTCACTCTACTCCAGTATCCCCAGACAACAACTGACTTGCTTTCTGTCCCTAAATATTAGCCTGCATTTTTAGAATTTTATGTCAATGGAATCATATGGTATGTACTCATTTTCCATTTAGTTTTTTACACTCAGCATAATACTTTTGCGAATTACTCGTGTTCTAATCCTATTTCATTTTACTTTTATATGGTAAATGGTCAGTGGATCAAAGAAAGCAGAATTTGTTTACCTGGATGTCGACCAGATATTCTGTTTCTCTAACAGCCTGAGACGCATCAGTTCTAACTTAAAATTTGTCACTAGTTGTTCCTCTGTCTGGCATGCATTTTCTACAGATGGTTGCATAGCTGGCTCCTCTTTGACATTCAAGTCTCAGCTTAAATGTCATAATCTCAGCTTAAATTTCACCATCTCAGCAAGACTTTTCATGACCACATTGCCTAAAGTAGCATTTCTAGCCACTCCTACTGTAAGGCCTCTAATTTAGTATTATCTGTCTCCTCCAGCTAGAATGTATAATCCATGGGAGAAGGAATTTTATCTGTCTTATTTAAAGCTGAATCCCTAGCACCTAGAATAATGCCTGATGCATAGGAAGTAATCAATAAATATAATAAATGAACAAATCTTTGTCAAGCCTCTCATCCTGTATTTATGGGAAGATATGAAGACTTACGGGCTAAATAACAGTATAATTCCATGCAATTGTTGTTCATTGATGGAATATATTCAAAATACGCTGATTAATGGATATTAATTAACCTTGATGGGGATTTACACCCATGGCATTACCTCAAATTCTGTCCTATTAGAGAACTTTTATGTATTAAAAAAAATTAGCTGTAACTATAGAAACGATTGTCCCTTCCTGTATAATGTGATACTACAACACATTAGGATAATATAATTGATATTTAAAAAAATCTTTACAGATTGAAATGATGGATGATACTAAAAAGATAAAAGTGGATAAGGATAAATTCTGCTCAAAGTGTTCCTAGCCAAGAGCATGCCACCTTGGAAGAGTACACGGTTCTCTATATGGGAATTGTAATTGGCAGTGAGCTTAAGGCTCTGTGTGCTAAACCTGCAAAAGCTCTTATTGCAACTAGTAACTTTGGTAGAAACATAATGTCTAGAATTAGATAGGGAATGGTTTCTGTTTTGCTGTGGTCAACACAAAACCTAGAATATTATGGTTCATTTCTGAGCCACAGAAATGGAAATGGGTTCAGTGGATTGACTGCATAATGGTAAGTAAAGAGTGATACATACAAGGAATGTTATAAGAAATAGGTAGTGTTCTTTTGTTAGCTGTCTTCAAATAGCTCTGTAATGAAATTAAAGTCTTGCTTATAGCAAGGAACTAAGATTTATTAATCTCTG
Source organism: Homo sapiens (assembly GCF_000001405.40). Taxonomy (NCBI): domain Eukaryota; kingdom Metazoa; phylum Chordata; class Mammalia; order Primates; family Hominidae; genus Homo; species Homo sapiens. The sequence continues at coordinate 86,690,254 of NC_000015.10, forward strand.
ATACTACAAAGACCTGTCTGATGATCACAGATGCCCCAAGATAGAATGAACTCTTACTGACTTGAGGACCATACAGTGTTTGGAAAGACTTAAAAGTATGAATTTATACTTGGAATTGACAGCATAGGGAGTTTGTACCAACTCTGAAATACAAATGAAAACATGTCATCTTAATAAAGAAATCCATTCGTTTTCATTTAATTCATTTGGGGTGAGATTTAGTCCATTCACCTTTTTAAACAGGCAAAAACGCTGAATTCTTCCCTAAATTCCTTATTAACATGGGTAATCCACTGCAGAGGTAGGTTTGAAAAGTGGCAAGGAACTGGGATTTGTTTGAAAATTTATCTCGAATCATTAGGGTGACAAAGGAGAGTAGGTTTTTATTTGTTTAAGGCACAGAAGAGTAGTGTGTGGTAGGGTGTTGGAAGGTGATGCTGAAGGCACTGAATTATGGGGATCTTAGTCACCATAGAAAATTATGCTTCATTCCTCAATTTCTGTTTGGTTGGGTGGTTTTGTGTGGGTGCTTGCTGAGAGGGTACTGTCCAATAGCATGGGTGCTGAATTGTTAGTCTCTTGAAGGGAAGTTTTCTCAGCAATCTCATTAGTAGAATGAAACTGCAGGTGACAAGATAAGCTTGTCTAATTTATTTATTTATGAATTCTATTGTTCATAATTGTATTATTAATCAGGGAAATGTATTAGCTATTGATGTATTTTTCTTTTATGTGGACATTTATTTTAAATTGTAAGAGGAACAAAAGATATTAATTCATATTAAGTAGTAGGTTGCATTTTTTTTTCCTAGACAATTTTCTCTATTAAGAAGTGGAGACAAAGGAAGAACAAAGACATATTTGTTACGTGATATGGAAGCAAAATTGTTTCTAAATAATACTGTTGTGTGGTGTATTCCTGGAGGTACTGACAGCTCCTTATAAGGCAAATGAACATTTTGGCTAAAGTTTGCAAGCAAAACACAAGGCTAATTATAAAATATTCTTTTGTCTCTTAGCAAACTGCAGGGGGCAAGAGCGAGCTTGTGTAAGCACTGAGAGCTTGGATTTCCCTGGGTGCTATCTTCTCACATGTGTTTTTAAATCTTCCAACTTGTGATTATTATTTTTCAGTACTGAATTAGTGAATCATTTTACATAGTGCCATTATGTAAAATAAAATGATACTTTGTTTCTCTGCATTGGCCAATTACTGGGAGGGGAAAATTGGACTCCTGAAAGGCACATGTGTGTGTAGTTTGGCAGATTACAGGAAAGCCTTGTAAAATGCTCCCAGATGTTTGATGCATGAGAGGGAAAATGCCAGGAACAAGGATCAAATTGAGGTGGGTTTCAGACATTATAAAATCTGTTGATGTAAAAACTAAGAAAACAAATAAGATCATAGGCATGAAATCCTTCTGGAAGGTCAATAATGATAAAGTTTTACTATATTAAACCGATTTGCTCCTTTTCTTTTCCCATCTGCCTGAGGCTGTTATAAAAAAATATTAAGGAACATTATTGCTAATCCATAATAAATGGTACATTAACTATGATCCAACTTATCTTTTCTACACAAGGGCCACGGGACTGCATGTGGATAAAATCTGGACTGGATTTATTTTTTTAGGGGCCTGATCCCATGTCCAATCATTAACCTTTAAGGTGGTTCTTAAAAATAATTTTATTATTAAGAAGTTGAATCATCATAATTATAGTATCCCTCTGACTTCAAAGAGCAATTTGAGGCTTGTCCCTCTCTTAATATGAGGTTTCTTAAGCTCGACAACACTGCTGGATGAGGTAAGGGTTGTAAAACTGACCTCCTTTGGAATGGTGTGAACCCGGGAGGCGGAGCTTGCAGTGAGCTGACATTGCACCACTGCACTCCAGCCTGGGTGACACAGCAAGACTCCATCTCAAAAACAAAAAACAAAAAACAAAAAAACCAAAAAAGCTGACCTCCTTTGAGTGCCAGAATTGTTCTCGAATCAGTCCACATCCTAGCATCAAGCAGATGGCACATGGCAAAGGCGTAATTGAGGAAACTTCAATGAAGGAACTCTTTACAAAGCAAGATCAGGGAAGCAATAAAGAAAAGGTGAAGCACCTTGGGAAAAGCAGAAGTGGGAAGTTAGTATCACCCTTAGTGAGGAAGAGGGTGGAACTGGCGAAGAATTGCCCTCACCTATGAAAGCTGGGGGCTGTAGAAGGACTACCCACCAGGAACTGCAGCCTTAGGTCACGTAGCCACTGCCAAACAATGGCTTCGCAAGGAGGGAGGTTGAGGAATAAATACCACATCTCTTTCACTTGCTAACTTCTTACTAACTTACTAAATTCTTCTTTCAAATTTTTTTTTATTTCCATTGATTTTGGAGGGAACAGGTAGTATTGGTTATATGAGTAAGTTCTTCAGTGGTGATTTGTGAGACTTTGGTGCACCCATCACCTGAGCAGTATACACGGAATCCAATTTGTAGTCTTCTATCCCTCATCCCCCTCACACCATTTCTCCTGATTCCCCAAAGACCACTGTGTCATTCTTATGCCTTTGCATCTTCATAGCTGAGCTTCCACTTATGAGTGAGAACATACAATGTTTGGTTTTCCATTCCTGAGTTACTTCACTTAGAATAATAATCTCCAGTTCCATCTAGGTTGCTGTGAATGCCATTAATTTGTTCCTTTTTATGGCTGAGTAGTATTCCATTCCATATAGATATATCACAATTTCTTCATCCTCTTGTTGATTGATAGGCTTTTGAGCTAATTCCATATTTTTGCAATTGAGAATTGTGCTGCTATAGACAGGCATGTGCAAGTATCTTTTTCGTATAATGACTTCTTTTCTCTGGGTAGATACCCAGTAGTGTGATTGCTGGATCAAATGGAAGTTCCACTTTTAGTTCTTTAAGGAACCTCCACACTGTTTTCCATAGTCGTTGTACTAGTTTATATTCCCATCAGAAGTGTAAAAGTATTCTCTTTTCACTGCATCCACACCGACATCTATTTTTTTTTAATTACAGCCACTCTTGCAGGAGTAAAGTGGTATCACATGGCAGTTTTTATTTGCATTTCCCTGATCATTAGTGATGCTAAGCATTTTTTCATATGTTTGTTGGCAATTTGTATATCTTCTTGTGAGAAATGTCTATTCATATCCTTAGCCCACTTTTTTGATGGGATTGTTAATTTTTTTCTTGCTAATTTTTTGAGTTCCTTGTAGATTCTGGATATTAGTCCTTTGTTGGATGTATAGATTGTGAAGATATTCTCCCATTCTGTGTGCTCTCTGTTTACTCTGTTCCTTTTGCTGTGCAGAAGCTTTTTAATTAAGTCCCACCTATTTATCTTTGTTTTTGTTGCATTTGCTTTTTTGGGGAGTTCTTGGTCATAAAGCCTTTGCCTAAGCCAATGCCTAGAGGGTCTTTTCCAATGTTATCTTCTAGAACTTTTATAGTTTCAGGTCTTAGATTTAAGTCCTTGATCCATCTTGAGTTGATTTTTGTATAAGGTGAGAGATGACAATCCAGTTTCATTCCCCTACCTGTGGCTTGCCAATTATCCAGCACCATTTGTTGACTAGGGTGTCCTTTCCCCACTTTATGTTTTTATTTGCTTTGTTGAAGGTCAGTTTGCTGTAAGTATTTGGGCTTATATATGGATTCTCTATTCTGTTCCATTGGTCTATGTACCTATTTTTATGCCAGCACCATGATATTTTGGTGACTATGGCCTTATAGTATAGTTTGAAGTCAGGTAATGTGATGCTTCCAGATGTGTTCTTTTTGCTTAGTCTTGCTTTGGCTATGCAGGCTCTTTTTTGGTTCCATATGAGTTTTAGGATTGTTTTTTCTAGTTCTGTGAAGAATGATGGGAATATTTTGGTGGGAATTGCATTGAATTTGTAGCTTGCTTTTGGCAATATGATCATTTTCACAATATTGATTTTACCCCTCCAGGAGCATGGGATGTGTTTCCATTTGTTTGTGTCTTCTATGTTTTCTTTCAGCAGTGTTTTGGAGTTTTCCTTGTAGCAGTCTTTCACCTCCTTGGTTAGATATATTCCTAAGTATTTAATTTTTTTTGCAGCTAACGTAAAGGGTGTTGAGTTATTGATTTGATTCTCAGCTTGGTCCTTGTTGGTGTATAGCAGAGCTACTGATTTGTGTACATTAATTTTGTATCCTGAAACTTTGCTGAACTCGTATATTAGTTCTAGGAGCTTTTTGATGGAGTCTTTAGGGTTTTGTAGGTATACGATCACATCATCAGCAAACAGCAATAGTTTGACTTTTTCTTTACTGATTTGGATGCCATTTATTTCTTTCTCTTGTCTGATTGCTCTGACTAGGACTCCCAGTTCTGTGTTGAATAGAAGTGGTGAGAGTGGTAATTCTTGTCTTTTCCAGTTCTCAAAGGGAACATGTTCAACTTTTCCCCATTCAGTATTATGTTGGCTGTGGGTTTATGTAGATGGCTTTTATTACATTAAGGTATGTCCCTTGTATGCCAATTTCGCTGAAGGTTTTAGTCATAAAGCGATGCTGGATTTTGTCAAATACTTTTTCTGCATCTATTGAGATGATCATGTGATTTTTGTTTTGAATTCTGTTTATATGGTGTATCACATTTATTGCTTTGCATATATTAAACCATTCCTGCATCCTTGATATGAAACCCACTCAATCATGGTGGATTATCTTTTTAATATGCTGTTGGATTCGGTTAGCTAGTATTTTGTTAAGAATTTTTGCATCTGTGTTCATCAGGGATATTGGTCTGTAGTTTTCTTTTTTTGTTATGTCTTTTCCCGGTTTGGGCATTAGGGTGATGCTGGCTTCTTTGATGATTTAGGGAGGATTTCCTCTTTCTCTATGTTGTGGAATAGTGTCAATAGGATTGGTACTAATTATTCTTTGAATGTCCAATAGAATTCAGCTGTGAATCCATGTGGTCCTAGAATTTTTTTGTTGGTAATTTTTTGTATTACCATTTCAATCTTGCTGCTTGTTATTGGTCTGTTCAGGGTTTCTAATTCTTCCTGATTTAAACTGGGAGGGTTGTATATCTCCAAGAATTTATCCATCTCCTCTAGGTTTTTTAGTTTATGTGCACAAAGGTGTTCGTAGTAGCCCTGAATGATCTTTTGTATTTCTGTGGTGTCAGTTGTAATATCTCCCATTTCGTTTCTAATTGAGTTCACTTGGATTTTCTCTCTTCTTTTCTTGGTTGATCTTGCTAATGGTCTATCAATTTTATGTATCTTTTCAAAGAACCAGCTTTTTGTTTCATTTATTTTTGTATTGTATTTTTTTGTTTCAATTCATTTAGTTCTGCTCTGGTCTTGGTTATTTCTTTTCTTCTGCTGGGTTTGGGTTTGGTTTGTTCTTGTTTCTCTAGTTCCTTGAGGCATGACCTTAGATTGCCTATTTGTGCTTTCTTAGACTTTTTGATGTAGGCATTTAAGATTATGAATGTTCCTCTTAGCACCATCTTTGCTGTATCTCAGAGGTTTTAATGGGTTGTGTCACTATTATTGTTCAGTTCAAATAACTTTTTAATTTCCATCTTGATTTCATTATTGACCCAATGATCATTCTTGAGCAGGTTATTTAATTTTCATGTATTTGCATGGTTATGAAGGTTCCTTTTGGAGTTGATTTCCAATTTGATTCCACTGTTGTCTGACAAAGTACTTGATATAATTTAGATTTTCTTAAATTTATTGAGACTTGTTTTGTGGCCTATCTTGGAGAAATTTCCATGTGCTCATGAGTAGAATGCATATTCTGTGGTTATTGGTTAGAATGTTCTGTAAACATCTATCAGGTTCATTTGTTTTAGGGTATAGTTTAAATCTGTTGTTTCTTTGTTGACTTTCTGTTTTGACCTGCCTAGTGCTGTCAGTGGAGTATTGAACTTCCCCACTATTATTGTGTTGCTGTCTATCTCATTTCTTAGGTCTAGTAGTAACTGTTTTATAAATTTGGGAGCTCCAGTGTTAGATGCATCTATATTTAGGATTGTGATATTTTCCTGTTGGACAAAGCCTTTTATCATTATATAATGTTTCTCTTTGTCTTTTTAAACTGCTGTTGCTTTAAAGTTTGTTTCATCTGATATAAGAATAGCTACTCCTGCTTGCTTTTGGTGTCCTTTTGCATGGAATGTCTTTTTCCACCTTTTTACCTTAAGTCTATATGAGTCCTTATGTGTCAAGTGAGTCTCTCGGAGGCAGCAGATAGATAGATACTTGGCCGGTGAATTCTTACTGATTCTGCAATTCTGTATCTTTTAAGTGAAACATTTAGGCCATTTACATCCAATGTTAGTATTGAGATGTGAGGTACTATTCCGTTCATTGGGCTATTTGTTGCCTGAATACCTTGTTGTTGTTTTTTTAATTGTATTTTTGTTTTATAGGACCCATGAGATTCATGCTTTAAAGAGGTTCTATTTTGATGTGTTTCCAGGATTTGTTAAGAGATTTGGAGCTCCTTTTAGCAGTTCTTGTAGTGCTGGCTTGGTAGCAGCAAATTTCTCTCAGCATTTGTTTGTCTGGAAAAGATTGTATATTTCCTTCATTTATGAAGCTAAGTTTCACTGGATACAAAATTCTTGGTTGATAATTGTTTTGTTTAAGGAGGCTGAAGATAGGGCCCCAATCCTTTTTAGCTTGTAGGGTTTCTGCTAAGAAATTTGCTGTTAATAAGATAGTTTTTTTTAATAGGTTACCTTTTGCTTTTGCCTCACAGCCCTTAAGATTCTTTCCTTCATCTTGCCTTAGATAACCTGATGACTATGTGCCTAGGTATTGAAGTTTTTGTGATAAATTTCCCAGGTGTTCTTTCAACTTCTTGTATTTGGATGTCTAGTTCTCTAGCAAGGCCAGGGAAGTTTTCCTCAATTATTTCCCCTAAATATGTTTTCCAAACTTTTAAATTTCTCTTCTTCTTCAGGAATGCCAGTTATTCCTAGGTTTGGTCATTTAACATAATCCCAAACTTCTTGGATAGTTTGTTCATTTTGAAATCTTTTTAAAGTCTTTGTTGGATTGGGTTATTTCAAAAACCTTGTCTTCCAGCTCTGAATTCCTTTCTTTTGCTTGTTCGATTCTATTGCTGAGACTTTCCTGTACATTTTGCGTTTCTCTAAGTGTGTTCTTTATTTCCTGAAGTTGTGATTTATTTTTATTTATGCTATTTCACTGAAGATTTCTTCCCTCACATCTTGTATCATTTTTTTTTTTTTAATTTTCTTAAGTTGGAGTTCACTTTTCTCTTGTGCCTCTTTGATTAGCTTGATAATCAACCTTCTGACAATTCAGGGATTTCTTCTTGGTTTGGCTCCATTGCTGGTGAGCTTGTATGATTTTTGGGGGAGTGTTAAAGAACCTTGTTTTGTCATATTACCAGAATTGTTTTTCTGGTTCCTTTTCATTTGGGTGGGCTATGTCGGAGGGAAGATCTGGGGATCAAGACTGCTGTTTATATTCTTTTGGCCCATGGGTTGTTCCTTTGATGTAATACTCTCCCCCTTTTCCTAGAGATGTGGCTTCCTGAGAGCTTAACTGTAGTAATTGTTATTTCTCTTCTGGATCTAGCAGATTCCTGGGATGTGAACTATCTTCAGGTCTCTCAGCCATGGATACCAGCACAGTATTTGGGCTGTCTCCCAGGTCCTGCAACAACAATCCACTTCCTTCAAAGAGTCTATGAATTTTCTTAGCTTTCCTAGTATATTCCTGCAGTAGTTCTTGGAGCAAAAGTTCACAATGTGAGTCTCCACATGCTGCTCTGCCCATATGAGTTGGATCTGCAATTTAGTCCTGCCTCCTATCCGCCATTTTTTCCTACCCCTTCTTTCTCTTACTAACTTCTAAACTGATTATGCCACAATTTGTCTGAACCCAACTAATAGCCCAAGGCAAGGGAGATTGGTTAAAGTAGTCTTTAGGGTTGGTCTCCTAGGACATAGAGTGGGATGCAGAAAACTGATGAACAGACCTGGAGGGGAAAAGAAAGAATAAACAGCACATTCCACATGTTAGTTTATTGGTTCTTCGAAATATCCCCTAAAATAACTAGTTTCCTTATTTTTATAGAAAAGGATACTGAGGTTCAGAGTGATTAAACACTTTGCCTCAGTACGAATAAGGATTTGTCTGACTTCAATTTCCACGTTCTTTCCCTTCCCTATACCATGCTGCATACCCACCTGCACCCCCATACACAGTGTTTCCAATGATGTTCTTTAGGGGAGATAATCCATGGAAGTAAAACAATATATTGTTGCATCCGCTCCTTTTTTATTGGAATTCCATCTGTATATAGTGCTGATCATTGTTTTTTTTTTTTTTTAAAAAGAGACCAACAGGATTTATGGAGGTGACTGATCAGTACTCTCAGGCAAGGAAGCTCAATCCCACTATCCTACTCTGCCTATCTAGTGCTGCAGTTTTTCTGGGATGCCTAAAAAAGACAGTAGGAATTTGAGACAGTGGTTCTGGAACAAGACGTGAAATGCCATTCTGAGATCCTGCTGCCATTAATGAAATGGATTTTGAAGGTATATTGTGAAGGTTGTAGGTTGTGAAGGTTAAGATCATTACTGAAAAATAAAGATTTATTCAACGTTTTCATTTGATATATATGTAATTTAGACTTCTTGTGGATTCCTCTTAGTAAGATGAGACCAAAATATCAGTTTTTAAGACTTCATTAAAAGTCTCTATAACTTTCTTTTCAAATAATAAAGATGAGGAGGTCAAAGTATTAAATCATAAAAAGCAGGAAGATAAAGTATTCTCAATCTCAGGTAACATGCCTTTCATATTTTTTTTAGTGTTTTAATGTTAACCTTTTATCTTTAAATAATTTCAACCTCACAAAAATTTCAAAAAAATTTTGTATATCTTCATTGAGATTTGTCAAATGTTAATATTTTATTATACACAGACTATATATACCCAGTCATTTTTTTCCAAATCATTTAAGTTGCAGATATAATTCAACTTTATTCCTTAATATCTCAGTGTGCATTTCCTAAAAATATATATTCCTGCCTACCAGTGCAGTATAATTAAAACAATGGCAATTAATAATGTAAAAACAATGTACAAATCTTACTGAAAATGTTTAGTTGTTCCAGCAGTGCCCTTTATAGCAATAGGGGACAAATACCTTGGCTACAGGATCCAGTCAAAATAATAAGATTCATTTCGTTTTCAAATCTATTGAGTTTTCTTTAATCTAGAACAGTTCCTTGATCTTTCTTGGCCTTTCATGACCTTTATGTTTTTTAAAAGATTTTAGTCAGTTATTTTGAAGAATGTCTCTCATTTTGGGTCTTCCTGATATTTTCTTTTGATTAAATTTAGCTTATCCACTTTGGGCAAGAATACCACAGGGACGGTGTTTTTGTCTTTATTAGTGCTTCATACACTTAGACATGAGCACATGTGGTTGATTTGTCCCATTACAGATGATGTTTACTTTGACCGCTTGTTTAAAGTAGTGTCTGCCAAGCTTCCCCTCTGTATAGTTTCTATTTTTCCTTGTAACTAATAGCTATTTTGTGAGATGCTACCCTGAGACTATATAAATGTTCTATTTTTAAAATTATGCACCTACCAGTTTTAGCATCCACTGATGATTCTTTTTCGTCTGAAACAATTATTATTATGGTGAATAAACGCCAAATTGTTATTTTCCAATTCCATTATTTCCTCTACATTTGTTAGTTGGCATTCTGTGGTAAGGAAGAGCTATTCCTTCCCTCTTCTCCCCATTTCATTATGTATTTATTTAGGTATATATCTATGGATTCAAGGATTACTCTTTTCTTCAGTGACTTACAATTCATTATTTTATTTAGGCATATCTCTGTGGATTCAAGGATTACTTTTTTCTTCAGTGACTTATACTTCATTATTATCATTATTTATTTTGATGCTCAAATTCTCCTAAATGTTGATAGTGGGAATTTCTCATGCTGGCTGTTGTATCCTTTTGTTATGTCTCCATCATTCTCTGAGCAAGTCTTTATTTTCTGGCACAGCAGTATGTTCTAGGTTCATCTTGTACATTCCCCAATTCATCTCTAGAATCACCCATTTTTAAATAATGCTTGGTCCTTTTGTGAAGTTAGTATTATAAACCAAGATGTAGGTGTTGTTCATGTTTACTTTTTCAGCAGACTAATACACACACACACACACACACACACACACACACACACACACACAAAATCTCTCTTGAAGTGGTCTTTCTCTTGACAAGAAGTAGTTTAGGCAACAATATAGTACCTTCTTTAGAAAAGATATAGAGCATTAACACTTTTCAAGATATAATCAAAACTTGCAATTTTCAGCTGGTGAAAATTAGGACCAAAAAATAGAAATGATACACTAAAGATACAGGCAAGGATTTTTGCTGCCTTGTGTTTTATTCTGTGCCTCAAGTAATCCTAACTTTTCTTTTTCTGTGCTTCCCTGTTCTCAGAGAAGTTTCTTCATGAGATCTAGTTTATTACCAAGATACCTGATACCATGAAAGTTGAGATTCGAGTGTAGTTTAAATCGATTCATCCAAGTGAAAATGTTAGTGTTTGGCCTGGTGTTCATGTGGTCTCCACAAACAACCCCAAGAGACAGTCAGAGTCAGCCGGATCAGGAACCATGTGAAATGCTGTGAATCTGAGCATCCTCCCCAGTCGTGCTGAGGGAATAAAGTGCTGAGGGTTGCTCCAGAGCTGTGTCCTGTGCTCATTCCCTGGATGAATTCCAGGTGCACATTAACAGTTTAACTTTGTTAAGAAGGTGTCAGCCTCGGATCATTTGCATTCCATTATCCACAGTGCTTTTTAATTTTGTGCCTGCTTTGGAAAGTAAATGATGACATTCTGCTGGGAGAATTTCAGCCTGTGTGCTCTTTATAAAGTAAGGAAATGGAGTAATTATCACAGAGAAGGAGACAAGAGAGGATATGATTTTCACATTTGGTGCTTTTAGAGAGTGGTGTGTGTTGGAGGTTTCATTGGAGAGGGGAGGTGAAGGGTGAAAAAATATGGGGACTCTGGTTGTGTGTGTTCATAATTCTGAAGCTAGAATTGTTAATAATTCTGGAAATCCTTCATAAATAGTTGATAGAATCCACATGGATGTTTACAAAGTCCCAGCTGAATTGTGCTGAGTGTGCACAAAGATATACATCATCAGAATTGTGGGTAAATCAAGATTAAATTGTGAAACAATAAGAGGCTTATACTCAAAGGTTAAGACTTGCTTTGTCTCTTGAATGGTCTCTAGAGATTAGGAAAAGAAAGCAGTTGAAGAGAACCAGATAGAATGGTAAAACATGTCTCCTCTCCTCTCCTCCCCTCCCCTCCCCTCTCCATTTTTTCCCTCCCCTTCCTTCCCTCTTCTCTTCCTCCTCCCTTCCTCTGCCTTCCACTCCCTTCCCTCCACTCCTCTCTCCTTCCTTTCACTCCTTTCCCCTTCCTTTCACTCCTCTCCCCTCCCCACTCCTTCCTTCCCTCCTTTCTCTTCCCCACCTCTCCTCCTTTCCACTCCCCATCTCTCCTTTATCCATTCCTTCCCCTTCCCTTCTCTTTTTTCTTTCCTTCCCTTTCTTTCACTTTCCTCCCATCCACTACCCTTCCTTCCCCTCCCCTCCTCTATCCCTTCCCTCCACTCCCCTTCTCACTTTCTCTCCCTTCTCTCCCCTTCCCTTGTGGCTGATCTACCCCAACCCTTCTCTCCTCTTTTCTTCTCTTCCCTCCCCTTCCCTTGTGGTTGATCTACTACAACAAATTATCACTAAATCCTATCCATAGCTCCAATCCATAGCTCATATTAAACAAATGTAAATATCAGAGTATTACAAAGAAATATAGACATGAGTAAAGAGAGGTTTACTTTTTAGTTTTGAAAACTTAAATCTAGTAAATAAGCCATGACAAATATTAAATTAGTATAATAAAAAGGAACTGACAAGCAATGTGAATATTATACCTGTAATAATTCCCCATAGACTAATAAAAATATTTTACTTTCATCAAGTCCACTAGAGTGGAACTCTAGCAGGACAGAGATGGCCTTATTGATTTGTTCAGTGTTATGTAGTCAGTCCCTTCAATAGTTCTAGATATATAGTAGGTGCTCAATAAGTACTGAATGGATAAATGAATCAAAGGGTTTACATTATTTTATCATCACTTGTTTCTCTTTTCTTACCCTTTCAAAATTATACTTGACTCCTCCTTTCCCATCCACTCCCTAACTCACTGCAGCATCACTCCATAGGAACTACTTTCAACAGGGACACCACACTGCTGCCAAATCCACTTCCTTCTTTCCAGTCCTCATTGCACTATCCTCTTTGTAACAAGTAGTACATTTCTCTCTCCACCTTTAAACTCTTTTCTCCCTTTATTTCCTTCACACTTTTCTTGCATCTCCTATGTGTCTCCTCTTAACAGTCTAAGTACTTGGTAATATAGTTCACTTGCTTGTCTTCGTCTGCTGGTGTTTCCAGGAGTTTCTTAGCTTCCCTTTTTTTTTCCTTGCCCAGTCTCCTGGGGTAATTACGTCAACCTCCAATGACTTGGACTATAATCTCTGTGCTTAAAAAAATCTTTCAAGGAAGCAAGTGTAGATGGAAAAGAAATATAATTCGAAGACTGACCCCTGGGACACTTCAACTTTTAAATGATTGGAGGATGAGGATGAATTATCAAAGAAGACTGAGAATACATGGCCAGATATAGTGGAGGAAAATCCAGTTATTGTAGTGTCTCAGAATCCAAGAGAATAATTTTAAGGAGCAACACTGAAAGGCTTTTATCAACTGGGTAGAGTGGTGATAATGAATCAATGTTTCCAACCATGGTTGTAGTATTCTGGTAAATTCACATTATTACAAGTGGAATAGCATTTTTGTTTCACTTGTTATTTTTTAAATGCCTAGACGAATAGATATACATCAAGAAAACAGTTTGGATACACTGAGTTTGAATACTGGCTCTGCCTCTTAATGAGCATAACATGGTGGTAAGAGCTTGGACTCTGGAGCCATATGGCGTGACTTTAACTCTGGCTCTTTTTGTAAGCAGATGATGTGCTTTTAGGTGAGTTGTTTACATTGTTTATGTTTCCATTTCCGAGTCCATCAAATAGGAATAATAATAGTACTTCTTTTATAATGTTGATCTAAAGATTAAATGAGAAAATATACTGGAAAAGCCTAGAACAGTGCGATAAAATAAATTCTTAGTGACTGTTTTTCTGTTACGGTTTGTCTCTGTGTCCCTACCCAAATGTCACCTTGAATTGTAATAATCCCTGTGGAAGGACCTGGTGGGAGGTAACTGAATCATGGGGATGGTTTTTTCCCATGCTGTTCTTCTGCTAGTGAATAAATCTCATGAGATCTGATGTTTTCATAAAGGGGAGTTTCTCTGCACATGCTCTCTTGCCTGCTGCCAGGTAAGATGATGTGTCTTGCTTCCCCTACACCTTCCACCATGATTGTGAGGCCTCCCTGCCCATGTGGAAGTGTGAGTCAATTAAATCTCTTTTTTTTAGAACAAAACTGGAGGCATCATGCTACCAGAGTTCAAACTATACTACAAGGCCACAGTAACCAAAATACCATGGTACTGGTACCACAACAGATATATAGACCAATGGAATAGAACAGAGACCTCAGAAATATCACCACACATCTACAGCCATCTGATCTTCAACAAACCTGACAAAAATAAGCAATGAGAAAAGGATTTCCTACTTAATGAATGGTGCCAGGAAAACTGGCTAGCCATATGCAGAAAACTGAAACTGGACCCCTTCCTTAGACCTTATACAAAAATTAACTCAAGATGCATAAAGACTTAAATGTAAAATCCCAAACCATAAAAACCCTAGAAGAAAACCTAGGCAATACCATTCAGGACATGGCCTGGGCAAAGACTCATGACTAAAACACCAAAAGCAATTGCAACAAAAGGCAAAATTGGCAAATGGCATCTAATTAAACTAAAAACCTTCTGCACAGCAAAAGAAATTATCATCAGAGTGAACAGGCACCCTACAGAATAGGAGAAAATTTTTGCAATCTACCCATCAGACAAAGGTCTAATATCCAGAATCTACAAGGAACTTAAACACATTTACAAGAAAAAAATAAACAGCCTTACCAAAAAGTGGGCAAAGGATATGAACAGACACTTCTCAAGACATTTATGTGGCCAACAAACATATCAAAAGAAGTTCATCATCACTGGTCATTAGAGAAACGCAAATCAAAACCACAATAAGATGCCATCTCATGCCAGTTAGAATGGTGATTATTAAAAAGTCAGGAAACAACAGATGCTGGTAGGCTGTGGAGAAACAGGAACGCTTTTACATTGTTGATGGGAGTGTAAATTAGTTCAACCATTGTGGAAAACAGTGTGGCGATTCCTTAAGGTTCTAGAACCAGAAATACCATTTGACCCAACAATCCCATTACTGGGTATGTACCCAAAGGATTATAAATCATTCTACTATAAAGACACATGTACACGTATGTTTATTGCAGCACTATTTACAATAGCAAAGACTTGGAACCAACTCAGATGCCCAACACTGATAGACAAGATAAAGAAAATGTGGCACATATACACCATGGAATACTATGCAGCCATAAAAAGGAATGAGTTCATGTCCTTTGTAGGGACGTGGATGAAGCTGGAAACCATCATTCTCAGCAAACTAACACAGGAACAGAAAAATCAAACACTGCATGTCCTCACTCATAAGTGGGAGTCGAACAAAGAGAACACATGGACACAGGGAGGGAAACGTCACACACTGGGCCCTGTCAGTGGCTGGTGGGGGGCAAGGGGAGGGAGAGCACTAGGACAAATACCTAATGCATGCAGGACTTAAAACCTAAATGTTGGGTTGATAGGTGCAGCAAACCACCATGGCACATGTATACCTGTATAACAAACATGCATGTTCTGCTCAAGTATCCCAGAACTGAAACAAAACAAAACAAAACAAAAACCCTCTTTTTTAAATAAATTACCCAGTCTTGGGTATGTCTTTATTAACAACGTAAGAATGGACTAAAACATATTCCATGAATTTGTGTTTCCTCACTTGGACAAGCATAACAAATAATTTCAAACTCATAGAGTTATGGTGAAAATCAATCTAGGTAATCCACGTAAAGTGTTCTTGCATGGCAAGACCTCCATATGTATTGGCTGAATTACTGGAAAGTATGTTTATCATTTAGCATTGGAGTTAAATGAGCCAGCCACTCGCTTCATTCCTCAATTGAGACTGCTAGTGGTTATGGGGATGTAAGCATTATACAGCCTTAAATTGTCTTATTCTAAGTCATACATTGTTTAATTTATACTCTTAATGTACCATTGGTTGGCAACAGGAAGCATAAGGGGCATTGATGTGCATGCATTTTCACTGGATCTTTGAGGTGCATTCATCTGATCAAAATTCTCACAGAGCACATCAAGGTGTCTCTAGTGCTTTGAAAACCAATGTTAAAAAGATAAAATTCAGTGATGATTACATCTAGTTTGATTTTCATTTTGGGGAAATAAACACTATCTTCACAAGCAACATGGTGTTATATGTGGAGAAGTACTTGCAAATGGAATACTGAAACCATCTCTCTTACTTCATCTTTTGGAAAAAAAAAACTTTAAAAATAAATAGTTTTTTAAGTACCAAATGCAATAATTCAAGACATGAGATCTATAAGGTAAGGTTTAATTTCATGGCTTAATTTCCATCTGAAATCAATTATTAAATAACGTCTGCCAATTGCAAATGGAAAAAGTAAAATTTGTCTATATGGATTATGAATACTATTGAAGGTTATGCTAAATTAACTATATATTATATATGTCATAGTTTACCGATCAAAGATAAAATATCGTTTTTAACCTTAATTCATTTTTTATTGTCACAATAAAAACTTAAAAAATATTTTGAAAAATCCCAAGGGGTTTTTACAAAATGATATAAGATTATGAAATAAGTTCAAGTGGTAAAAAAGAAAAAGCTTGGAAAAGCTCTATTTAATAAAAAATCATAGAGGCAGAACTCAGATTCTTGGACCTGGTCTGTTAATTTGGGGATAAATTTGAAATGCCAGTCTTTTGAGTTTGATTATAGCACTTAATTATGGTAATCACTGCTAACCTTCTCCCACAACCTTGCACTCATCTCCTTGAGAACATATTCTTCAGGAAAGATTTAAGTTTGCTTTGTAAAACTTGCTGCAACATGCTAGTAATCACAATTCCCTAAGGCTCGCGATTTGTTTTATAAGAAAAAGCTATTAAATTTAAAGAAATGGTGTACGTAGACAGTTAACACAGTTGCCTAACACCATGCTGTTCTCCTTACAAGACAAATGCATCCCATTGTTTGTTCCAAATTTTGGGCATATTTTATCTTCTGTCTTTGAGGATTTTGCAAAATAAGCATATTCAATGGAATATACATTTTAACTAGCCCCAAATTTAAATCCAGGCACTTGCACTAATTTGTTGTGGAATATTAGAAACACCTACTTAACCTAGCTTACTTCAGTTTTCTCTACCAGTTACTCATCTATGACACAACACATTTTCCTATGGAGAGTAAAAAGGGATAAGAGTGGAAAACGTAGTCAAAAGGGAAAAATGAATAGATATAATAAGAGATGGACTTTGCATTTACTGATAATGATGATGCAACATGAATCATATAATGTGAACAACTCAACATTCTGTCCCTGAGCTGTAAGTCTCTCTATCTGTTCATCTCTCTAGTTTTGCTAGCTATGTGCTAGATCCTATTAGAGCACTTCACTCAGCAAGTACCTGACATACAGGGATTCCTTTCCCTTTTCAGCTGTCTCTTCTCATAACACTACATCACCTTTACATCTGTGCACAATACCATAATAGGGAACAAAGGTCTACTCCACCAATGAATCCAAAAATTGGAATAAAAATAAATCCAGGTATATAGTCAGTTATTTTTCTTGATGGTGTCATGGGAATGATTTCCATTTTATCAGTTGGAGGTTACTCTGTAAATATTACTTTCCAGTCAAGCAAATAGGAAAGAATATGTTTTCATGAAACTGTGTAGCTTGGCTCTGTTTTTGTTTTTCCCAGCTCTGTAGAGAGAGAGCATTAAATAAAACATACTCTGCCACGTTTGCACACACCACATCCCTCATGTTCTAAAGATACTACATTGTAGAAATGTAATTGACTATTGCATGCTTTCCTCTCATACCTTTCCCATAATTTGGAAAAAAGACAAAATCGAATGTGTAGAGTTTACAGAAACCACACCAAAGAAAAGCAAAGCCTCATAAGTTCAATAAAAATCCTTTTTTCTGGACTTTCTTTATAAAATATTGAAGCAACATTGCATAAGGAGGCTGTTGAATTCTTCCATGACAAAAACTGTTTCTGAAAGACTATTGTTATCATGAGATCTTCTGAGCATTTTCCTAGAAGTAGAAGCTGAACTTCCTTTTTCAATGGAGATGAGGAGATAGATATATGTTAACCAATCTTTAAAGGGGCCATACTTGATTAGACTATGGATGACAGCTCTTTGGAAATCATAGTTGGAAATGGAGGGTTAATAGAGGGAGCGGGGAGGTCCAACACAGACCACAATTCTTTTAGCTACTCAGTCTCAAAACATTGACATTCCATTTAACTTGTTGCCTTCTTTCATTTTCCTTCTGTAGTCTGTAGCTACTGCTTGACAATTGCCATTCTTAATATTTTTCATCCTATTTCTTTCAGTGACACAGGCATTAACACATGTATACTGCTTTTGGACTTAATCGTGCTCTCCTCTCTCCAAATGTAGTTACATTAGGGGTTAAAGTTGAAGCCAATATTTGGCCAATATTGGATTGGACCCAATATTTGGAGATAGGGTCTTAAGGGAAGTAACTGAGATTAAATGAGATCATAAGGGCAGGGTTCTGATCTCATAAGGTTAGTGTCCTTGTAAGAAAAGACATAGGAGAGGTCATTCTCTCTGCAGGTGTACACAAGGAGAAAGGCCATATGAGGACACAGTGAGAAGGTGGCCATCTGCAAGTCAGGAAAATAGCCCTCACCAGAAGCAGAACCCTGCTAGACCTTGATCTTGGACTTCAGGCCACCATAACTATGAGAAAGTGAGAAAACAAATTGCTATTGTTAAAGCTTTCCAGTTCGTGGTATTTGTTACCGCAGCCTGAGCAGTCTAAGACAAGGTTAATTACAATATTCCAGAATTAGAGCTATGTATATATTATGCCAGATTTCAAAAAATCTTTGCAAAAGCCCTGTGTTAATGAGGTTTTATTATAGATGAAGACACTGATGTTCTAAGAGGTTAATTCACTGAATTATAAGAACTCAGAACTTAAAGATGTAGGAACTACAATTTGAGCCTTGCTCTATTTTATAAGTGTGTTTCCTTCATGCTACTGACAATATCACCCTAGGCCAGGCCCTCCTTGTTCAGTGACTTACTTGGTTCACAGCATCTCCCTATAGCTACCCAGCACTCTTGTTAATTTTGCACACTTGCCAAGTCCTAAATCATCCATTTTGTTGCTTCACTTCCACTGCTCAAGCTCATTTAATGTACCTGTGAGAGTTCCCAGGACAAGCTCCAAATCCTTAACCAGCTTTTTAAGGTGTGTTCAAAATCTGAGCCCACTTAACTAAAAGGTATGACTATTTTCTCAAAGCTCAAATGCCAAATTCCAATTCACTTCACTACGTCAAGATTATACTACATTAATTCTTGTATTTATAATCCTATCTATGGTATTCCCTCTCCTGGAAAACACTTTTCTCATCCCTCCACACACAAAACTTGTACTCATCATCTGAAGACAGACTCAATCCAGGCACTTGTATAAAACTTTTCTTACATCAGTCTATAGTGACCTCCTACTTAAAACTCTCTAGACTTTTTTGGGCAATTTATTTCTTTTTTGCTATTGGGTTGTGTGTTATTTCCTACTTGTCTTATGTTTAGGAGGAATTTTTCAAAAAGCAGGTGGGGAAGGCAGGGGAACAAAAACTCTTTGAATGCATGCTCAAGTATCTAGCCAACAAATCAAGCAGCCAAGAGATCTACTAATCAATACATAGTTACTGAGCACTTACTATGACCTAGGCTTTGCAAAACTGAATGGCATTGGCTCGAAATATATTTTCCTTTCTGTATTTCATGGCTAATTCCAATGATGCAAAGACATTCAACAAATGACAATTTATGAAATACATAATGATATCGCTGCTATGTGCTTGAAAACCAAAGAATAGCCAACACAATCTTGTCTTTGTTCACCAATAACATCAACAAGGAATTGTGACTAGAGTAGGTATTTGATCTATGGGAAGACAGCATGGTGTGATGGAAACCATATGGATGTTAGAACAATTTAAATCTTACCTCCATCTACTTTGTCCTTTTGTCCTCCCAGATAATGATTAAACTTTTCTAAATCATAGTTTCCCTATTTAAAGTTTCTATCATAGAGTCTGGCCCATAGTAAATGCTTAATGAAATGTACTAAATCTCCTAATTGCTATTTGTGTTCATTGAAAATCATTAAATAGAGAGCCTTGTTATCCTGTTAACTGTACTCTTTTTATGTTTATTGCTGCCCCAACTTTTCCCTGCTTCAAAGATGAGCAATATGCATAGCTGGTTCTAACACATGGCCAAAATGCTAGTCTGGCTTTGAATGGGGCGAGGAGCAGATAATTTGGAGGGGATGTGCTAGAACAAAGGTACTAAATAGAAGGATTGTATGTGATCACTTTTTGTCGCACTCATCATCCCTTACAGGAAGAGGCTGATTTGCTGAACTTAGAAAAAAATGTGACAGCCAATCCTTCAGATGCATTACAATGCTTTGGGAAAAATATAATTAGACAAAACACCAAGTATCGATGGATTGCATGTTGGGGTGATGCACGTGATTAGAGAATTCATCGCTTTACTTAGTAAGACCTATTAGACCCATTGTTAGTTGTCTTTTGAATCAAGAGATATAAATGATTATAAAACTGCAAATAACATCCCATTATTTTTAAAATAATGAATGACTGTGAACCAAGGTAGTTCTATTATTTCCAATGGAAAGATAATTTGAGCTGATACTTAAGGCTCTGCTCAGCATTACATTTGGAAAAGTGCAATTTAATT
The DNA here is from genome assembly GCF_000001405.40 of Homo sapiens. Lineage (NCBI taxonomy): Eukaryota > Metazoa > Chordata > Mammalia > Primates > Hominidae > Homo > Homo sapiens. Next base: position 86,710,514 of record NC_000015.10, read on the forward strand.
GGTGTGAGGCAGCGTAGATTTGTGAAAATAAATCATGTCAAACACATTTGATTACCCTTTAAAATTAAATTGCTATTGGACCAGCTAGAAGAGGAAACAAGTAAATGCAATACAACTGAATTCTTTTTTAAGTCGCCTGGCAACATTCCTTATCAGTGTTAAGCATATGGATAGGTTTCAGATAGGTTTATAAGTAATAGTCAAGTGGCAATAGACAATGGGTGCCAAGGTTGAAGATCTAGAAAGAAACATAGCAATTCTTTGGAATGGCTGGAAAAGCACAAAATGCCAGGAATGGAGGGATAAGCAGACAGTTTCAAGGTCAAATATTAGCACTGCCAATTACTGACTTTGTGACAAGTCACAGTCTTTGAAACCTCAAATTTTGGATCTATAAAATAAGAATCATAATAGTTTCTTTCCAGGGTTCTTGAGAAGAACAAATCCAATGGTTTTAAAGTTCAGGGCTCAACATATAGCAGGTTTCCATGGGATGATTTTTCTCACTAGATCTAGACCCTAGGCCACAAGGTGACTTCCCCTGATCACATAGGACTCTAGGGAGTTTGGGGAAGCAAATACTTCAATATGCTGTCAAGACTGTGGGTAATACTGAGGTCCAAGCTCTGCTGTACTCTTGAGCCGTTGGTACCTTATATATGTTTCAAGTGTTTTCCTCTCTGTAAATACCTGTCCAAGAGATCAGCACTGTAAAACCCAGCTTAGTTCTTTGGAAACAGGAAACTTGAGGAAGTTGAAAATCTTTACAAAAATCCTGAGGTAAAAGTTCCAACAAGATCAATGAAAGCCTTTTGGTAAATGAGTTCTGCAGTACTTTGAACCTCTCTGTGGCAAGATATGGCAAGAAGCCTCATGTATCCACCTTGTCACTGACATCTGTTCTAATTCTCTGCATCGTGCCAGCATTATTGGGTGCTTTTCTTGTTTATAGCATTTGTGTCCATGCTTAGTCACTGCCTCCTCTTATAGGAATGTAGGTAAGTCTTACAAGAATATGAATTTTCCAAGAACTGCTAGCCCTTACAGTTGCTAATCTAGTACGGTTGCTAGCTTAGTGTAGGCACCCAGATAAATATTTGTTGAATGAATTAATAGGTCATGGCAAAGAACAGGAGTTGGCAAACTATGGCCCACTGGTTAAGTCCAGCCTATGACCTGTTTTGAATGGCCTACAAAGACAGTCATGCTTATTCACATGCTATTGCCTGTGGCTGCTTTGCTGCTACAGTGGCAGAGTATGTGTTTCCTGATCCACAAAGTCTAAATATTTACTATCTGGCACTTCAGAGAAAAAAAGATTGTCCACTCTTGATTCAGAAGATAGAAATCAATACTGTGATAGTATCACCATCATCAGAGCAGCTATCACATATGTCTTATATGGACAAGACATTTTAGGTGCTTTCATTTGCTCTCTTAACAGCCTTTGCAAGGTGGGTCTTATTTCTGCTGTCTTGCAAATGAGGAAACTGACACCCAGAGAAGTCACTTCTGCAAAGATACAGAGCTGAGTGCTATCTGAGCTCAAATTCACCCCTGCCCTCCACCTCAACCTTTCTGACTCTATAGCCTTTGATTTTTATACTAACCTAAGCTACTAATACATTTTAGTATAGACATTTTAAGTGACCATGAGAATATTGTTAAAATTTTCAGTGTTTCCATTTCCTTGTTTATCATGGATTTAGGGTAGAAATAATTAAAACAAACAAAGCAATAATAAAGATGTCCCAGCCTCGTTTTGTAAGTTTGTTGAGCATAAATTGTCTCTCTATTATGTTTCTTTCTTTGCTTGTACTTAGTAGAAGGGATTACAGAGACGATGTGTACTTTTTTTTTTTTTAATTTACCACTGACATTAAAACGGAATGTTAAGAAACCCAGCTAGAACCATTTCACAGAATAAACACTGAGAGATTAGGCAATTGGGCTTCAAAGTGGAATATGAAACTTAATGTGGCTAAGTGATGCACTTGGGTAGAAATAATGCCCAGGCTAAGTACAACTTAAATGGTGCTTAATTAGTTAATACAGCAGAGAAAAAAAATCCGCCTGTACTCTGAGAATGAACATTTACATTTTGGATTCACTGTGCAGCAGTGATGGAAAGAGCTAAAATGCTGTCAGCTTGTGTTCAGAGGGCTATTCTATTAGTCCTGGGATACGGGCCTTTTGTAAGGTGCTGATTGGAACACAACAAGGCATCTGGTCCAATTCCGGACTCATTAAGTAACAAAAAAGATGAGGAGTCTGTTTCCAGGAACTAGATACTTGATTAGTGAAGATAGCAGCAAGGGCTGGAGCTGAAGCTTAGCCTGCTGAACAGAAGCCTTAAGCACCCTCTGGGATGGGGCTCCTGCCCTCTCCAGCCTCATTCCATGGTTCCCTCCTCTCCTGGTCTGCATGATGCGATTTTAACAATTGCCACCCCCTTCCTATGTGATAATGATGTGCACTACAACCCATCCCACAGAAGGGACAATTTAGCTTGTGTGTCTGTTTCCCCAGGAGAAAGCAAGCTCCTTGAGGCTGGGGTCTTTGTCTTATTTACACAGGCATTACTGGACCCTACACTCCCTTTCCTACTACATAGAATCTTATTTTTGCCCTTTCCCTTTCTCCTTTTCTTCCACTGAAAGAGAAAGGGAGGCTAAGTATAGCTACATCATTAATTATGAAAGAGTTTGGGGAAGGACAAAGATAGAAAATTCAGGCAGCATGTTTATAGAAGAGTTTTACTGGGGAAAAAAATGCTAGGGGTGGAGCAGAAGAGAGCATTGGAATTAGAAAAATGTGTATGTTATGAAGCGTTGCTGTGGATTGCAAACAGGGCCTCCTTACTTTCTAAAATATACAAATCCATATTTAAGTTGATTTTTAATTAATTATGGCTATGGAAGTGCATTGCTTTAAACATAATCCCACTCTTGGTCTGGACTGCATGGTTGTTACAATTATAAGTATTACATTGGTATCCCCAGTGCCCATAGAGCACTAGACGGGTTGTGGAAATTAAAGTATATTTTGAATAAATGAATGAGCAAGAGGGAAAAGAACTGGGTGATGCTAACTAGGGAGTGATCTAATAGAAGACAGAACTGTGCCCCAATACTCTTCAAAGTGTTTCAGGTCAGCATAATAAATTAGTGATGGGAGCCTAAAGCACTGCTCCTCCAGGGTACATAACTCACCAGGACGTGCCTTGGGAGCTCCTTCAGCCCCAAAGCTAAAGTGAACAGGCTAGAGAGTGTATTTTTTTTTTCCCATGAATCTACTAAAAGAAATCCACTAAAATCAAATAAATCATGAAAGAGCTGTAACGTAGACTTGGATTAGAGTTTGCTAATTAAAGAGCATTTGACCAAGTTGAGCATGCGGCTGTTAGAGAGAGTGAAATTATGCCATGCATGATGGGTGTCTACGTGTGTCTTTCCTTGAACGCGCACACAAAGGCTGAAAGCATAGGCAACAGGAGAGAAGAATAACCTGTGTCGATAGCTGAACTTTTACTCTGTCTAGGCAACACATGTGGACACCAGCTATGAGGCATAGGAGTTATAAATATAATTGCTACCACCACTTCCTTCAAAGAATATATAGTGTTAGGGAAAGGGGTGCATATAAACACAGAATTAATTATGAGGCAATGATAAGGGGCCCAAGAAATACAACCCATGTGCCGTTAAGTTGCAGAGGATGGCAAAGGCACATTTTACTGGTGACAGGGATAAAGGAGTTCAAGGCTCAGGTGATATGTGAATCAGAACTCAAGTGTAGTTGAATGTCAGTGGGCTGAGCTGAGAGGGAAGGGCAGAACACAAGGATGGGAAGCACAGCAAAGACTCAAACAGATCATAAGATAAACTATCAGTGGGAAATTAGCCTGGAAGCAAGGAATTGAAGCAGTTTAAACTCTAGGGGATTTGGAGCAATGGCTGTCTTATCAAAGCCATGTGTGTGTGCAGATAATCAGGAGCCTGAGTGGTATGAGACATCATGGAGTGGTGTGAGGTCTATAAGAAACAGAAACAACTAAGATTCAAACGTCTAGAAAAAAAAGTTTACAGACCCTGAATGCCAGCATAACCTTTCAGAGCAGGCATGATTCAGCTTTCCTGACAAAGTCCTCTACTGTGGAGTAAAGTCGTGACCTTGTTGTCAATAACCCTCTGAAAGTCAACATGGCTCCCAAAAAGAGAAGAAGGCTTCCTGATGCTTCTAGGCTTCATTGCTTCCCCATTCTACCACGATGTAAAGGGTCCCCTGAAGGGAAACAAGCAGGGAGCATCAAGGGAGGGGCCCCTGCTCAGCATCCCTCCTATTTGGAGCTTCCTTGTCTGATGTCTCCCAGCAGGCATGCAATCAGTCTGCACTCCAAGTATTTTAAGTGGTGTGCTCACCACTTTAAATTTTTGGATTATTGAAATTTAGGGTTGCTCAAATAAAGTTAAGTACTTTAATGATCTTCCGTATGACCTTCCTCCTCATCCCACCATGCCTCTGTACTCCCTGCCCCCAGCACTTTTGCTGGCCCAGACGTGGGAATGTAATCTGCTTTTAGGAAGGGGAGATGTAAGAAATTGACCTGGCCCAGCAACTTCACTGATTTAAGCCTGCAAAGCTGAATGCTGAGAATGGAGTTGTTCTGCTAGGTCTGAAGTCAGAGAATGGGGGAAAATAATCTAAATCCTGCACAGTGAATTAGTGGCAGAGACCTATGTACCTGTTATTGTTGCTGTTCACTATTTCTATAATGGCAAATTATCCTTATCACCCAGCGGAGAAGTCACAAAGGAAACAGCTCTGATGGACTGCTCTTTGGTATTGCAGCTCCTGCCCCTCACACAGCTACAATCTATGGTCTTCTCGTAGAAGCGTTTATACCTGAGTATTTAATACCAAGAAATAAGAATTCACAGATTTTTAACTCATAACTGAACTGATCCCATTTTCATGGTGATTTAGTCTTATTTTACCTTTCTTTGGGTCTTTAGCAAATAGAATAGTTACTGATTGATGTGGAATTGATAATTTGGAATGAAAACTGTATTAAGCTTATTCTCTGAAATTTTTTGAGGAAGAAGATAGCTTGGTGGATCTGTTTTATCTGCAAGATTGTGTTACTAAGTAGGGATGGCTGTTGGAATTTAAAGAAAGAAAGAAAGATGAAGGAAAAGCACAGGGAAAATGTATAATTAATGAGTTTTAATTGATTAGTTTGTGGTTATTGAAATATAAATCAGGCCGGGTGCGGTGGCTCACACCTGTAATCCCAGCACTTTGGGAGGCTGAGGCGGGCGGATCACAAGGTCAGGAGATCGAGACCATCCTGGCTAACATGGTGAAACCCCATCTTTACTAAAAAATACAAAAAATTAGTCAGGCGTGGTGGTGGGTGCCGAGTAGTCCCAGCTACTTGGGAGGCTGAGGCTGAGGCAGGAGAATCACTTGAACCCGGGAGGTGGAGCTTGCAGTGAGCTGAGATGGTACCACTGCACTCCAGCCTGGGCAACAGAGCAAGACTCCGTCTCAAAAAAAAAAAAAAAAAGAAATCAGTTATTTTCGCTATTGCATTTTAGTTTGCTAGTCTATTGGTAGTAATATCTATATTTTAAAGTGTGCTAGGGATTTCTCCTCCATTCCTGGAATCTCTCTACCATTCCCAGTCTAGGTCTTTCTCAAAAGGATTTCAGTGAAGATGCTATACACTGCAGAGTGTTACAGTGAAGGTGACTGCTAAATACTCAACCCAGTCCTTTTTTTTTTTAAGTTAGCATTGCTGCATGGGGGAAATCTGAAAGGCTCGGAAGTGTAGTGGGGTCCCATGGAGGGCTTTAGTTGATGATGTGTATTTTAACATCTCTCCCAGGATCAGGTAGGGTACATGTCACTTCCATTTCATGTGACTTTCTTCCCAGTTTGATCTGTAGCTGAGCTAAATGTGTCATTGGTAGTCACTGCTTAAAATTTCTACAGCTTGGAAGATCCCAGCAAGATATTAAAGATAACCAACTGACCAAGACTTGGAAGGGAGCAAGAAAATAGAAAAAGCAGTAAGAAAAAAGCTCACGGCTATCTCCAGCCAATACTCAGCTTTCAGATGTCAGAATAGAAAGGACACCTACACCTGAGACAATTAAGACATTTGATTCAGGAGCTCATAACATAGATGTCAACTATCCCAAAGCCGTCATTGCTAAGATTTGGAATAGATGCATAAACCAAATTTATTTTACTCAACAAATTGTTAAATTTTAAATAAAGGACCTCATAGGTAGATTGGGAATCCAAATGAGGTGGGGAGGTTAAAAGCTCAGGTTCTAGGGTTGACTCTAAGGGCCTACTGGAACCCTTGTCCGGCCATTTATTACGTATGTGATTTGGGAGAAGTTGTTTTATCATTCTATGCTTCAGAAGTTTTTGTTTTGTTTTTACCTTTAAGGCAGAGATGATAATATAAACTGACTCAAAAAATATTTTGTGAATTAATCCACATGAAGTGCTTCAGGCAATTGCCTGGTATATGGTAAGTGCTCAAATATTAACTATTAGTTAAAGCAAGATGGAAATATGTCCTAGGTGACAAAATGGTTAAGAGGCAAAGATGAAAGAAGCCACAAGGGAAGCGAAGGGCAGGACAAGGAGAATTTGAGATGAAATGTGATAAGAGCTGAGAACAAGGAGAAGGAGTGGGGTAGCACTTCATAATGAAAAGTATTAGTTTCCATTTTATAAACTCGATTTCTGCAAATAAAATTCATATATCAGGGGCAAAAGCAATGGGCTAATATGGTCAGTGTGGAACATGACGATCTCTTCTAATTGACCTACTAAACCCAGGGGAGAATGCTCTATAAACAGATTGCTAGGCTAAGCAATAGGGTGCCCCATTATCCAACAAGGAAGGACTCCACCAAGACCAGAGGCTAGATTCTATGGGTCATTGTAAAGATAAGCACATTTAGTTCTTCCATTACAATTCTTATATAGCCCCTCCTTTTGAAGTTTTCAATGTTTTGCAGACATTTCCCAGAACCTTCACATTTCACTGATTGGCCAGTTGCCCTAGGGAGCAGAAGTAGCCTTAGCCAAGTAGAAAAGCAAAGGCTTGGCTCCCTGGAAGCATGTTTGTATTGCCTCTGATTAATCTGGACTTCAGGGATCTTTGTTTTTTGCCCCATTGATACCTCCCAGAAAAATGGGATTATAGTATCACAGCCATATTTGAGATGGCAGATTTGGGAGAATTTAAAACCCAATTCAGGCCGGGCATGGTGGCTCACGCCTGTAATCTCAGCATTTTGGGAGGCTGAGGCAGACAGATCACAGGGTTAGGAGTTCGAGACCAGCCTGACCAACATGGTGAAACCCCGTCTCTACTAAAAATACAAAAATTAGCTGGGCGTGATGGCATGCACCTGTAATCTCAGCTACTCAGGAGGCTGAGGTAGGAGAATCACTTGAACCTGGGAGGTGGAGGTTGCAGTAAGCCAACATTGTGCCACTGCACTCCAGACTCCAGCCTGGGCAATGGAGCAGGACCCCATCTAAACAAAAAAATTATTATAGAAACAGGAGAAAAAATATTATTAATATTGGCTGTGTATGAACAAAACAGCCAGAGCCAGAGACCCTACCACTGAAGTAAGGCTGATCGCTGCCCAGCTAGAAAACCATCCTGTGTTGAGTTCATGTCTTTTGTACAGACATGGATGAAGCTGGAAACAATCATTCTGAGCAAACTATCTCAAGGACAGAAAACCAAACACTGCATGTTCTCACTCATAGGTGGGAATTGAACAAGGAGAACACTTGGACACAGGGTGGGGAACATCACACACTGGGGCCTCGTGGGGTGGGTGTAGGCAGGAGGGATAGCATTAGGAGGTATATCTAATGTAAATGACGAGTTAATGGGTGCAGTACACCAACACGGCACAGGTAGACATGTAACAAACCTGCACATTGTGCACATGTACCTTAGAACTTGAAGTGTAATAATAAGAAAAAAACCATCCTGTGTTGATGGAGAAGCAAGCAATCAATGCAGCTTAACAAAGCGGCAGTCAGAAGGACAAATCGTACCCCAAACCAAGGGGAGATGGAGGCATCCGATGAGAAAGAATTTGGCTAGTTGGAGTTATGAAGGGAAAACAATGCTTGAAAAATCTGAGGTGAAGTTAATGATCACAGAAGGGGTATGTAGCCAGGAGGAGGCCAGGAAATGAAGGACTTTTTTAAAAAAAATTGTATTTCATAAGTCTGTTTTCTAAACAGAAACAAATGAAGTAAGTCTTTTTGGGGAACAAGAGAACAATGGTGATTCCACCAAGTTAACTATTAATATTAGTCCTATCCACCCTTAAATCTAAACATTTCTGAATAAATTTGATTGGAATCCCTGCGTCTGGTACTGCTAAAAGTTTTGGCTTCTGGTCTAACTGCCTAATGAAATCAACGATCTATCCCTCAACACCCCTTTCCCCCCATTCAGTAGTCTCCCTTTTCTCTCCAAAGAGAAAAAAAAGTTCATGGGAATGGCTCTCTGGGAAACATACCATCAAAATTTAGTAAGTGATAGAGCAAATATAACAAGAAAAAATATGTAAGCATTTGAGAAGAGAGGGAGACAAACTTCAAGTCTGTGGGGGAGAAATTGGGATTCACTCACTCAATGGCTTTTTCTTCCCCCAGTTGACCTACAAGAACTGGGGTTGGGAAAGTCAGCAGCAGTCAGATAGGAGACAACTCTGTTTTTAAATCTATATAGCCCCAGTTTTCTGCTGCCTCCAAGCACCTTACATACAATAGTAAGTTAATTAATACCAGCTCTGAGTAGGCATGTGAGCTAAAGATGGGGTAGAGAAAACATCCACTAATCTAAAAAGAAAAAGAAAAAGACACAGCATCCTTATAGTGAAGGTTGAAATCTTCATCAGGAGTAAAGCCCTCTTTGCATTCCTTTCTATGCATAGGGAGCAGGGTGAGCTTCCCAGTAAAACCAGACTCCATCCTGAAGCTTTTCTCTCAGATCACTAGGGGTCATTCATTCAGTCATCCTATCCTCCCTCCCTTCCCTTTTCCTCCCCTTGCCTTCCCCTCCCTCCCTTTCTTTGTTCCTTCTTTCCTTTTTATCCTCAATTAAGATGGTAAAGGGTGATGGAAGACACAGGAATTTTTAAGTGAGCCAACTTCAGTTTAATTACCAACACTAAAATGTATCACTTGTGTGAACTTGGATGAAGTAATTAGTCTTTCCAGGTATTGATTTATTTCTGTTAGATGGAAATACCCGTGCCTGTTTAGCAAGGTGGGAGGATGAGGATAATGTGTGTTCAATGTCCAGCACATGCTAGTGCTCTCTTGGTTTCTGTGACACTTCTTTCCAGCCTCTCTGGCCACGGATTCTCAAGCTCCTTAGCCGATTTTTCCCTAGCTTTCTCATCTAGTCACAAAATGTTGGGCTGCTTCAGGGGTTGACTCTGATTTCCCAGACCTTTGCTTATTTATTTTCTATCTTAAGTGATCAACTTAGGTTTAAATGACAAGTATATACAGATTACTGTCAAATTAATATCTCTAAGCTTCACTTTTCTCCACAGAGCCCCATACTTACATGGGCAATCAATCCTGTGACATCTTCGCTTGGATAACTCAGACTTAACCTGACTGATGATGATAAAGACTTTTTTCTCCACCTCCTAACCTTGCACATTATTCCTTGTTAGTTTTTTCACCTGGATGAATAACACTACTATCTACCCAGTTACCAGGCTCAAATCCTGGGGGTCATCAATGATTTCTTCTCTTCAGTTATGTTTACTTTCTGTCATTCCTAGCCTCAAAATATATCTTGAATAACCAACTTATTTTTGTTCTTAATGCTACCACTGTAGATTGTATTAAAGTTCTCAAGTATTCCTTCTTCTTACCATAGAACATGTAGGGCCACTCCACTTATGGAAGGAATTTACTTCGCTGCCAATGGGGCCACTTGAGATATGTGGCTATAGATGGGAAATGTGATCAGTTCCTCAGCTTTTCATTGCTCTGGTCAGGACTATAGTGGGCAACAGTTACCTTTAGCCATTGTGGCTGTCAGACAAGTATGATAGAAAGAATGCGAAGTTGCTGAGAGTGAATGTCAGGGGTGAGTATACCGATGGGCCATGGGACATAAGAAAGAAAAGAAGATAAGAAAGGAAGTGGATAGATCGCTAGCAAGACTAATAAAGAAGAAAAGAAGAACCAAATAGACACAATAAAAAATGATAAAGGGGATATCACCACCGATGCCACAGAAATACAAACTACCATCAGAGAATACTATGAACACCTCTACACAAATAAACTGGAAAATCTAGAAGAAATGGATAGATTCCTCAACACATACACCCTCCCAAGACTAAACCAGGAAGAAGTTGAATCTCTGAATAGACCAATAACAGGCTCTGAAATTGAGGCAATAATTAATAGCTTACCAATCAAAAAAAGTCCAGGACCAGATGGATTCACAGCTGAATTCTACCAGAGGTACAAGGAGGAGCTGGTACCATTCCTTCTGAAACTATTCCAATCAATAGAAAAAGAGGGAATCCTCCCTAACTCATTTAATGAGGCCAGCATCATCCTGATACCAAAGCCTGGCAGAGACACAACAAAAAAAAAGAATTTTAGACCAATATTCCTGATGAACATCGATGCAAAAATCCTCAATAAAATACTGGCAAACCGAATCCAGCAGCACATCAAAAAGCTAATCCACCATGATCAAGTGGGCTTCATCCCTGGGATGCAAGACTGGTTCAACATATGCAAATCAATAAACATAATCCAGCATATAAACAGAACCAAAGACAAAAACCATACGATTATCTCAATAGATGCAGAAAAGGCCTTTGACAAAATTCAACAACGCTTCATGCTAAAAACTCTCAATAAATTAGGTATTGATGGAATATATCTCAAAATAATAAGAGCTATCTATATCTATGACAAACCCACAGCCAATATCATACTGAATGGGCAAAAACTGGAAGTATTCCCTTTGAAAACTGGCACAAGACAGGGATGCCCTCTCTCACCACTCCTATTCAACATAGTGTTGGAAGTTCTGGCCAGGGCAATTAGGCAGGAGAAGGAAATAAAAGATATTCAATTAGGAAAAGAGGAAGTCAAATTGTCCCTGTTTGCAGATGACATGATTGTATATCTAGAAAACCCCATTGTCTCAGCCCAAAATCTCCTTAAGCTGATAGGCAACTTCAGCAAAGTCTCAGGATACAAAATCAATGTACAAAAATCACAAGCATTCTTATACACCGATAACAGATCAACAGAGAGCCAAATCATGAGTGACCTCCCATTCACAATTGCTTCAAAGAGAATAAAATACCTAGGAATCCAACTTACAAGGGATGTGAAGGACCTCTTCAAGGAGAACTACAAACCACTGCTCAAGGAAATCAAAGAGGATACAAACAAATGGAAGAACATTCCATGCTCATGGGTAGGAAGAATCAATATCGTGAAAATGGCCATACTGCCCAAGGTAATTTATAGATTCAATGCCATCCCCATCAAGCTACCAATGACTTTCTTCACAGAATTGGAAAAAACTACTTTAAAGTTCATATGGAACCAAAAGAGAGCCCGCATTGCCAAGTCAATCCTAAGCCAAAAGAACGAAGCTGGAGGCATCACGCTACCTGACTTCAAACTCTACTACAAGTCTACAGTAACCAAAAGAGCATGGTACTGGTACCAAAACAGAGATATAGACCAATGGAACAGAGCAGAGCCCTCAGAAATAATGCCGCATATCTACAACCATCTGATCTTTGACAAATCTGAGAAAAACAAGCAATGGGGAAAGGATTCCCTGTTTAATAAATGGTGCTGGGAAAACTGGCTAGCCATCTGTAGAAAGCTGAAACTGGATCCCTTCCTTACACCTTATACAAAAATTAATTCAAGATGGATTAAAGACTTAAATGTTAGACCTAAAACCATAAAAACCCTAGAAGAAAACCTAGGCAATGCCATTCAGGACATAGGCATGGGCAAGGACTTCCTGTCTAAAACACCAAAAGCAATGGCAACAAAAGCCAAAATTGACAAATGGGATCTAATTAAACTAAAGAGCTTCTGCACAACAAAAGAAACTATCATCAGAGTGAACAGGCAACCTGCAGAATGGGAGAAAAGTTTTGCAATCTACTCATCTGACAAAGGGCTAATATCCAGAATCTACAATGAACTCAAACAAATTTACAAGAAACAAACAACCCCATCAACAAGTGGGTGAAGGATATGAACAGACACTTCTCAAAAGAAGACATTTATGCAGCCAAAAGACACATGAAAAAATGCTCATCATCACTGGCCATCAGAGAAATGCAAATCAAAACCACAATGAGATACCATCTCCCACCAGTTAGAATGGCCATCATTAAAAAGTCAGGGAACAACAGGTGCTGGAGAGGATGTGGAGAAATAGGAACACTTTTACACTGTTGGTGGGACTGTAAACTAGTTCAACCATTGTGGAAGTCAGTGTGGCAATTCCTCAAGGATCTAGAACTAGAAATACCATTTGACCCAGCCATCCCATTACTGAGTGTATGTCCAAAGGATTATAAATCATGCTGTTATAAAGACACATGCATACATATGTTTATTGTGGCACTATTCACAATAGCAAAGACTTGGAACCAACCCAAATGTCCCAACAATGATAGACTGGATTAAGAAAATGTGGCACATATACACCATGGAATAGTATGCAGCCATAAAAAATGATGAGTTCATGTCCTTTGTAGGGACATGGATGAAGCTGGAAACCATCGTTCTCAGCAAACTGTCGCAAGGACAAAAAACCAAACACCACATGTTCTCACTCCTAGGTGGGAATTGAACAATGAGAACACATGGACACAGGAAGGGGAACATCACACACCGGGGACTATTGTGGAGTGGGGTGAGGGGGGAGGGATAACATTAGGAGATATACCTAATATTAAATGACGAGTTAATGGGTGCAGCACACCAACATGGCACGTGTATACACATGTAACTAACCTGCACGTTGTGCACATGTACCCTAAAACTTAAAGTATAATAATAAAAAAAAGAAAACAAAGCAAATTGATGGATTTGACTAAACGGAAAACTAGAACTTATATATGGCAAAAATATACAAAAGAATTAAAATGTAAATGAAAATTTGTGAGAGAGAAAAAAAGAAGAAGAAAGGAAGTGAGTATGTGAAAGAGATGAGGGGGAGTGAAAAGGTGGCAGGACCAATGCAGTGGGCGTGCTGGCAGAGTGGGAATTGTTGGAGTCAAAGTTTGGATACTTGAAAAGCTTGAAAATGAGATTATGAGGGAGTAAGATGACTAAATCAAAAGGTGTTGAGTAGGCCGGGCGCAGTGGCTCAAGCCTGTAATCCCAGCACTTTGGGAGGCCGAGGTGGGCGGATCACGAGGTCAGGAGATCGAGACCATCCTGGCTAACATGGTGAAAACCCGTCTCTAATAAAAATACAAAAAAATTAGCCGGGTGCGGTGGCGGGCGCCTGTAGTCCCAGCTACTTGGGAGGCTGAGGCAGGAGAATGGCGTGAATCCGGGAGGCCGAGCTTGCAGTGAGCTGCGATAGCGCCACTGCGCTCCAGCCTGGATGACAGAGTGAGACTCCATCTCAAAAAAAAAAAAAAAAAAAGAAGGTGTTGAGTATGACCATGACAGTGAATGGCTAAAAATCAATGACAAGAACATCGGCAATAAGGAAACCAAGGAATAGAGGGGCCAGAATGTTGGAGGGGCTACCGGTGTGGATCTTGAAGTCCTCAAGAATTATGACAAGCATTAGATTGATTCAGTGCTAAAATATTTAAGGAAGGAAGAGGAGTGACCTGAGGTGTATAGGTGATAGCATCATGGATGAATAGCAATAGTGAAGGTATAATCTTTTGGCCCAAAAATCACAGCAGCAGGGGGCAAGGGTAGAGGTAAGGGAGAAAGAATAGTGACCTGGTGGTGACAATGAGGAACAGGGAGGATATTTGCTCCATTTTTAGCATAAAATGTTGCTATAATTTGAATATTTGTTCCCTCCAAATCTCATGTTGAAATGTAATTTTCAATGTTGGAGATGGGGCCTGGTGGGAGGTGTTGGGGTCATGGGAGTGGATCCCTCATGAATGGCTTGGTGCTATCCCTTCAGTATAGTAAGTTCTTGTAAGACCCGGTTGTTTAAAAGTGTGTGGCACCTCCGTCTTCTCTCTCTTGCTTCCACTGTTGGTGTGTGACAAGTAGGTTTCTCTTTCACCTTCTGCCATGATTTTTAGCTTGCTGAGGTCCTCACCAGAAGTAGATACTGACAGCAAGCTTCCTGTGCAGCCTGCAGAACCATGAGCCAATTAAACCTTGTTTCTTTATAAATAACCCAGCCTCAAATATTCCTTTATAGCAATGCAAAAATGGCCGAATACAGTGGTATATGAAGCATGAGAAAAAAAGCAGCCACTGTTTGTGAGGGATGCAAAGGAGGTAGCATTCTTGAAGGGCAGCCAGCAGAGCTAAAAATTAAATGTGGGTTGAATAAATGAATAAATAATAGCTATTATTACATTTCTTTTAAATTTCCAATATATGACAAGCTACAGGAGAACAAAATACATTGTTTCATTCAAGGAGCTCATAGGAGCTCTGGTTCTCATGTATTTCCAAGAAAATCATGTACAATGAAACTAATGCACAGAGACATGGTCTAGATGTTACGGGAACACAGAAAATGATCAAGTAATGCTTCCAGGGTGGTATAGATCTCTAGGATAGGGTAGGGGAGGTTTTCCAGGGAAAGGGATGGTTTAAAGGTAAGTAATTAATTCCTGGGAGGTCAGTTTAGCAGAGCATGGGTGAAGTCTGAAAGGTATGAGAACACATTAGGGGTACCAGGCTTAGCTGAAAAGTTGTGGCTGCCTCTTTTACCAATGTAGTATCAGCAGACAAAGGCTTGAGATAAATTCCTTTGTATGCGTGAATCTGCCTGTGTGCATGTGTGAACATGTGTGTGGCAATTTTTCCCATGGAACTCTTCCAGAAACATTCCTTTGTAAAGTAGGGTTTCTTTCTACTGGTAGGTAGGACATGGGGTGGTGTGAGCTACCACTAAGTCAAAGAGCAAGGTGACATTGTGAGTTGTGTTCTGATGCCACTGGTAGGTATGCATTATATGCATATGTGTGTTATCATTCTGGATGAATCAACCCTAAGTACAAAGGCATGCACACACACATACCAGTGATTGCTGCAGATTTCACTAAAGCCCTTCTAAGTATAGCTATGATTGGAGGAAGAATATACTGGACTATGAGTTCTTAAAGGACAGAGCCATATCTTATTCATCATTGTGTTCCCAGTACTAATTCTGCATCTGGCAAACAGTATGGTCAAAAAAAAGATGGTATTTTGTTCAACCTTCACCAATGAAGCCAATGAACAGATAAATGTGAGAAATCATCTAGCAATACTGTCATAGGATATAATAGTGCTTGTTTAGAGTACATTGTGCTTTGTAAATTTTAAGACTTTTGAATATACATTAACTTATTAGATGCCATAAACAAAGCCCTGAGATGCTTATCAAATTCTGCTTTACCTAGCAAAAAAGCTCTCAATTACTTGGCAGAGCTGTGACTAAATCTTTTGTTTTCTGGTCCATAGTTCAGTGACAGATGCAAGATCTGGAAAAGGCAGTGCGCTTTAGCAACAAGAAAGTCAGGGCCAATTTGGGTTGCCAATATGGGATAGTGGGAGGAGAGTGGACCTCAGAGTCAGGCATAACTGGATCCAAATCTCAGCTCTGGAAACTTGAGTTGTGTGAACTCACTCTGTGAGGATCGGTTTCTCCATCTATATAAAGAAAGCAATTGTAACCAATAGATGAAGGTTAACTTAGGATTGAGCAAGATAATATGCATAGTGTTTGGCACAATACGCGGCTCTTAAAGTTGGTAGGTACTATGTATTATTATTATTATTTGAAATAGGTTCCTGCCTTGTCACCCAAGGTGGAGTGCAGTGGTACAGTCACTACTTACTGCAGCCTCAACCTCCTGGGCTCAAGCAATCCTTCTACCTCAGACTCCTGAGTAGCTGGGACTACAGGCAGGCACCACCATGCCCAGCTAATTGTTTTTATTTATTCTGTTCTCACTATGTTGCTAAGGCTGGTCTCAAACTCATGGGCTCAAGCGATCCTCCTGCCTCGGCCTCCCAAAGTGCTGGGATTACAGGTGTGAGCCACTGCACCCAGCCAGTACTATGTATCATCATTATCATTGGATACACCAGGTTTTAGTGGCAGTTAGTTTCTGACAAGGCTACAATGAATGGTAGAAACGTCGTTTTCCTCGTTGGTCAGATACACGTGGGGAGCTTTTGAGTCTTGGCACAGTTAAGAAGTCAGTGGGAGGAAAAGGATATTAAAATGCAGAACACGTTTAAACTCCCTTTGGACTGTGTTGTATCAAGGAAATGGAAAAGAAAGTGTCAGGCAGTACTTGGGATGATGGGGACTCTAGTGATAATGACACTAAGGCAAAGGTGCAAAACCTGTGACATGATGGCCAAAGAGGGAATGTGATTGCACCATTTAAATGTATATCAGGAAGGTGTGAGACATCCTGCCATACTCAGGGACCTTCCACACCACAAAGGTGACACTAAAATTCAGACTTAGGGAGACTCTCTTGGCCAGGAGACTGGCTAAATGTGCGAATTCAGAAGTATCAGCTGAGATGTGACGCGATCACACATGGGCTGGCAACGACTATTTTGCTCTGAAAAAGGTGCCTTGGGAAAGAGATATCATTAATTTTTTTTAAATTTTAGTTTGATTCCCATTCTATGTTTTATGGCCCTGACACTGGACTATCAACTAATGAACATAGTCCTTGCTGGATAAAAGAAATGTATAGGGATAGTTCTTCCCCAAGAACTTGTTTTATTTTCAATGACAAAAAAAACTAAATTGCTTTCAGCTTCATTATCTTTTCAAACTCAAATGTAAAGAAAGAGCATCAGAAGCAGGAGTGTGCAATTAAAGCTGGAAAAGTAAAATAGAGTTTATCTAATAATAATGGGATATTTTCCATAGGCAGAAGCTTAATTCTGATTTCTCAATTTAAAGACTCTAAGGAGAAATCAATTTATAGACTCAGAGAATCACTGAATGTTAAGTTGCAAAAATCCCACAAATCATTTTGTGTATCCCTTCATTTTATAAATGAAAGGACTGAGGTCTAGAAAGGTTCAGTGACTGCTTATCCAGTGAATTTACTCGGAAATATAAGAACAGGTGCAGTTAAGATGAAGATATCTGGATATATACTTAGCTTCTACAGTGACTTACTGTGTACCCATAAGCAAAGCTTTTGCAATAGGCAAGTTCCTTGATCTCCCTTTATGCAAATGATATACAGGGAAACATTGTTTAGACCTTACTTCTAGCATGTACAATGAACCTATACAAAATGGTCTACATTCTTGGTTCCCTCTCCTTTCTTGGAATCCTCAGCCTGGCAAAGGGTCTAACAGTCATTGAACTGGAAAGGATGTACCTATTTTATAGATGTGATAAGTGAGGTCCAGCAAAACTAAGTAACCGTACCACAGTTACCCAGGAAATACACAGTGCAGGTGGACCTGGGGCCTTTGGCTTCCTGCTGCAGGGTTCTTTCCATTCCATCATGTGACACTATTTAAATAGAAGCAGGCTAGAGTTGACAAAATGAGTTCCTTTCCATTTGCATGAGGCACTGAGCTTCTAAAGAAATTCTATTCATAAAAGTCAACAAGTTTCTTTTTGGAGCCTGTCCACAACTGCCCAGGCTTAGGGTAGAACGAGGCATTCCAAGTCCTCAGTCAGACAGGTGGCCCCATAGGTATCAGCAGAGCCTACCTTTTCGCCTCCAGCATCTTTTCAGCTGCCTTTTTACTCAGAGCCTTGTGGAGCCATACTGAAGCCTGGGGCTAAATAAAAAAACCTTGCCTTTATTTAGAATTCTGATATTATGCTCATCATGAATTGTTTTGCATTAAGTTTTGTTTTTTAAAATACTACATTAAGACATTATTTGTCTTGACTACTGAGGGTTTTTCTTTTTCTTTTCTTTTTTTTGTTCACATCTTTTAAAATTTTGTGTCTGGAGTTATCAAGGGGATAGAATTCCAGGTTTCTCTTTACTTGCTGTAGCCTCTGGTTTCACTGTGTTAAAATATAGATAAAATGGGCCCATTCCACCCATTTTCCAGATGAATCTAACCTGCACATCCAGATTTAGTTTGCACTAGGAAATGGACTTGTGAAGCCATTCACATGGGCAGGGATTTTGTGTGTTTTATTCTCTGATGTATCTACAGAGTTCAGTACATTTAGTTTGTAGAAACCCAATTGATATTCATTGGATAAATAAATAAATGCAACAAAACTCTACAGTTTTTAGTGTTTATGACCTGTTAACATTTATCTAAGCTCCCTCCAATAGAGTCTCCTAGGCCTGTAACCAATTTCTGGCAAGTTTCTGGGAATTGAGCTCTCTGTCTTGCCAGGTCTCTAGAGTATTCTAAATAGATAAAGAGAACAATAGTGATTTTCAAACAAGCCACTATTAATGTTAGGTTTTAACTGAAAAATAGCTCAAATGATTAACTATTTTCTGAAATCTTCGCTTTTTCTTTGTTTCTTTGGCTCTTTATTTTAGGGTCAGGAGGCACACATGCAGGTTTGTTATGTGTATAAATTGTGTGTCACTGAGGTTTGGTGTAAGAATGATCCTGTCACTCAGGTAGTGAGCATAGTACCCAATGGGTAGTTTTTCAACCTACCCTGCTTTCCCCACTTTAGTAGTCCCCAGTGTCTACCGTTGCCATCTTAATGCCCATGTTTACTCAGTGTTTAGCTCCTGCTTATGAGGGAGAACATGCAGTATTTTGTTTTCTGTTCCTGTATTAATTTGCTTAGGATAATGGCCTCCAGCTGTATCCATATTGCTGCAGTGGACATGACTTTGTTCTTTTTTATGGCTGCATAGTATTCCCTGGTGCATATGTACCGCATTTTGTCTGTCCAGCCCACTGTTGAGCATCTAGGTTGACTCCATATCTTTGCTATTGTGAACAGTGCTGCAATGAACATATGAGTGCATGTGTCCTTTTGATAGAATGATTTATTTTCCTTTGGGTATATACTCAGTAATGGGATTGCTGGGTCAAATGGTAGCTCTGTTTTACATTCTTAGAGAAATCACAC
Source organism: Homo sapiens (assembly GCF_000001405.40). Lineage (NCBI taxonomy): Eukaryota > Metazoa > Chordata > Mammalia > Primates > Hominidae > Homo > Homo sapiens. The sequence continues at coordinate 86,729,850 of NC_000015.10, forward strand.
TGCTTTCCACAATGCCTCAACTAATTTACATTCCCACCGGCAGTATATAAGCATTCTCTTTTCTCCACAACCTCAGCAACATCTGTTATTTTTTTGACTTTAAAGTAATAGTCATTCTGACTAGTGTGAGATGGTACCTCATTGTGGTTTTGATTTGCATTTCTCTAATTAGCAATGTTGAACATTTTTTCATGTATTTGTTGGCTGCATGTATGTCTTCTTTTGAGAAGTGCCTAAGATTGAAACTGGACTCTTCCATTATATACAAAAGTTAAATCAAGATGAATTAAAGATTTAAATGTAAGATCTCGAATTATGAAATCTTATAAGAAAACCTGGACATTGGCCTTGGCAAAAAATTTATGACCAAGTCTTCAAAAGCAATTGCAACAAAAACAAAAATTGACAAGTGGGACCTAATTAAACTAAAGAGCCTCTGCATAGCAAGAGAAACTATCAACAGAGTCAACAGACAGAATGGGAGAAAATATTTGCAAACCATACAACCAACAAAGATCTAATATCCAGAATCTATAAGAAACTTAAATAATCAAACAAGCAAAAAACTAGCAACTCCATTAAACATGGGCAAAGGACATGACATATTTACTTTTTAATCACTCTTAAACTTTAGAACATTTTATTTTAGGTCCGTGGGTTTTTTTTCTTTCTTCCATCATCCCAGGCTTATTCAGATACAATGTAGGGTCTCTTGCTATTAGTGTTTCCACAGTTAAGTGCATGGGCTGCCATTTGCTTTCCTGGTAGCCTTGACTATGTGTCCCCATGTTTCTGGACATGAAATTCTTCATTTGTCATCTGGCAATAATGATAGTTATTACAAACTGCTTGGAAAAAAATAAGAATGCATGGGAATGGACTTTACAAGTGGTAAAGAGAACACAAATTTCAGAGTGTATAATTACAAATTCCATGCAAAAGCAAAAACTTCAGATTTGTACCTATTTTATTTTATTTTATTTATTTATTTATTTTGAGATGGAGTCCCACTCTGTTGCCCAGGCTGGAGTGCAGTGGCATGATCTCGGCTCACTGAAACCTCGGCCTCGTGGGTTCAAGTGATTCTCTTGCCTCAGTCTCCCGAGTAGCTGGGATTACAGGCATATGCCACCATGCCAAGCTAATTTTTTTTATATTTTTAATAGAGACATGGTTTCACTGTGTTGGCCAGGCTGGTCTCAAACTCCTGACCTCAGGTGATCCGCCCGTCTTGGCCTCCCAAAGTGCTGGGATTACAGGTGTAAGCCACTGCACCCGGCCTTATATATAAACAAATCAGGGGTCAAAAAGAGAAAAGACATGAATTATGTCCAAACTATTGAATTATGTTCATAGCCTTTCTGGAATGATAGTAGGTTCAGTTGATTTTTTGTTTTTTACATTGACCATCCTAGAAAGAAGTCTCACGTACCTGAAAGTCTCTCGAGACTAACTTCATGGGGGACACAGTCTGATTCTCTTACTCTCATATGCACATCCAACATTCTCAGATCCTAAGACTAGAGATTCTCCACCATTGTTGAAAATAGAAAATGTCACCAGGGATCTCCAAATTGTGCTGCGATCTTTCTGCTTTTTATATTGTCACCAACAATAAATATTCTGCAGTGGGATTTTAGCTGACGGTTCAGGTGATGATTTGCCAAGCAGCAAAGTCTCCAGCTTTGTTCTTCTGGGATTCTATCTGATCCTGCAAAGCTAGGAAGGAAATCTTGTTGGTTTTCTTTCCCACTTCTGTAATGCTGGCAGATGAGACTTGAAAGCCAACAAGATACAAAGATAGAGAGAGGAAGAAGCTATCATTTTCACCTAGAATTTTCTCCACCAACCAGACTGACTTTCAAGTTGCAGAGTAAGTCACTGACCTAAGATAACAGAGTAGCTTGCATTTTTACAGATGTCTTGAAGTAAAGCTTGCTTATGTGTAAGGCAGCAGCTTTGGAAGCCAGAAACTGGGGTGTCTTGAGGGGTAGTAAGCCTCTGAAATGTGCCCCAGGGAACTGGCTTGACCGTTGATTCTGAACAAAATAAAAACTCAGTTCTTTAAGGACCATCTTCTTCTTTCTGCATTTACTCACGTGGCATTCCTCAAGGGCACTGATCTGCAGTCACTCTGCTTTGTCTGGTTATCACATGAAGATTGAGAGGAAGGTTTACTTAACAGTCTTATGAGGCAGATGTTACTGTTATCCCCATTTTACAGAGGCAGCTACTGAGGCACAGCAAGATTAATTGCCTTGCACAAGAATTTGCGGACAGTAAATAGCAGAGCAACATTTTGAATGCAGGCAGTAGGGCTCTAGAGACTAATAAATAAACTTAATTTATTCTTTTATACCTTAGTGGTCTGAAAAAATAATAATTTCATTTATTCAAATGATAGTGCATGTGTATGCATGTATATTTGTTTATGTGATGTTTTCCAGCGTTATAGGTTTTATTAGTAATAGGTTGATCTCATATAATCTACTCCACCACAGCTGGAAATTGAAATTTCTTGTGATGTGATTTTACAACTGTTTGTAACTATGTAGCTGCCCTTGTCAATGCCTTTTTTTCTCATCCTTGTTTTCCAGATTTTCTGTTTATTTTGTGAGCTCCCTAATATTCTTTCTATGCATTTCTAAATTAGGCAGATTTGGTTTTAGTTCCTTGTAGTTAAGAACCACGATTGATTTGAAATGTGGAGATTAAGAAAGATAGTACTCTTTTGAAAATTAAGTTCTTGAATATGGGGTAAGTAACAAGGAGTTCACTTTTCCTCATTTTGAAGGCAATATAGTATTCACTATACAGACTCTAAGACTAGACTGCTTGGAATTGAGGATTTGATTCTAGACTGTGCCATATATTAGCTGTGTGACTTAGGTAAGCCAGGTATGTATCTGTCAGTTTCTTTATCTTAAAATAGGAATAATGATAGCATCTGTCTCATATCCTCATCTCTGAGCATTAGAAGATATATTAGGGTTCTCTAGAGAAACAGAACCAATAAGATATATATAGATAGATATATAGCTATAGATAAATCTACAAATATATATATAGATAGATTTGTAGATATATATATAGAGAGAAATATATACACACATATACATATACATACATACAGGAGATGGCTATATATCTTATATATAATATCTCTATATATTAATACTATATACATGTATATCCCGTATATATCCTATATAAATCATATTATATATAAATATATATATCTTATACATAGGGATTTATCATGGGAATTGACTCACACAATTATGGTATCCAAGAAGTCTCAAGGTCTGCCATCTGCAAGTTGGAGAACCAAAAAGCCAATGGTATAGTGCAGTCTGTGTCCAAAAGCCTGAGAACTGGGGATAAGGGGTGGGGGTAGAGCTTGCTCCTGCACAGAATCTGAAGACCCAAAAACAGAGAGTGTGATAAAAAGTTTTCTCTTCCTCTTCCTTTTTGTTCTATCCAGGCCCTCAACAGATTGTATGATGGCCAACCACTGTGAAGATGAGAGCAATCTTTTTTACTCAGTCTAATCATTCAAATGCTGTTCTCATCCAGAAACACAGACACCCAGAAATAATGCTTTACCAGCTATCTGAGCATCCCTTAGCTCAGTTAAGTTGACACATAAAATTAACTGTCCCAGATGAGAATATTTAATCACTGCTTGGGATGGGACCTGGCACTTAGTAACTATAATATAAGCATTAACTACTATTATTCCCAGTGGTTTGTTGTTGTTGTTGTATTTAAATATCACTAACATGCATTGACTGTTTACTATGTAGAAGTCATGGTACTAATCATTCTATATGTGCTCGTAACAATCTTATGAGGAGCTATCATTAGCCATTTATAAAGAAAAGTGAGGCTCAGAAAATTCAAAGATCTTCTCCCAGGATCTCATAAACAGGAATTGGCAAATGTAGTATTTTATCCTGGTTAAAAGTGTCTTTATCCTTTATGGGAACTTCTTTGGGAAGGGTAAAGTCCCTTTGCATGGGTCGTATACACCCAGAACACTCTGCCTTCATACACTTACTGCTGATGAGACTACACAGTCCTTCTCACCATTCTGTAAGTAAACTCCTCCTCCCTTCTCTAGGTCTATGACATCTCCAGTGACCCCTTATACAGGTTAAATTTGATCCCCTCTGATACCCTCATGAGAAGGGGAGTGACCTTTATTGAAACCGTTCTTTGTACTGGACCCTGTTCTAGGCAGTTTGCATATGTTTTCTTTTCAAATGATCAGGCTATAAGCAACCCTAGGACATACAGCCATATCTGTTTTGACCCAAGGCACTTACGTTCTTAAATGTTATGAAAGTTGTTCAAGGTCACATTGTGACCTAGAAGTAGAGTCAAGATTGAAAACCAGGCTTGTGTGACTCTAAAGTATATATTTCTGTGTAATATAACCCTGAGTGGGGTATTCCAATAAGAAAAATGGCTAGAGTGGTAATGAAATAATAATTCAATTATAGGAAGAAGTATGGCATGACAGGTTTCATGAACTTGATAGCAGGGAGTGACAAGGAGATCTTCACTTGGAAAAGATGTAGAGACTAAGAACTGTTATATGAAGGGAGGTGATGAATAAAGAGATTTAAGAGAGTAAGGAGAGGTGTGGGCTGTGCCTCAGGTCTGCAAGAGGTGAGAGATGAGTGCTGAAGGAAAGCTAGGTAGAAATGGGCATACATCCTTCATGCTGGTTCTCCTACCTGCTCAGAGCCACAGCCGGCCAACTCCTATGCTGTGGAGTCATTGTCACTGGTGGTTCCTATACTTCTCTATTGCGACAAAGCAATGAAGTGACATCAGGAAAAATGAGGAGGAGACAACACTGGCTCTTTCCATGATGAGGCCAGATGACTCCTTCCCACTGGCAGCCTCTTTAGTTTTTTGTGGTTCTTAGGTTGGTTCTCTGTAGACAAACCAAAAAGAAGATAAAAGAGCAAGCCTTTCCTTACATTTCTGCCACTGTTCCCTGAGTGAGCTGATGGGGAATATGTTGTAGAATTGTGAGGGAACAATAAGGGAACAGGAGGGAAACCATAGTTCCCTCCCACAAACACATATACATGCCCCAGATTCAGGATGTGTTTCCATCCAGTTTTCTATTTTCTTTTGTGCTCATACCTTGATATGTTCATAGGCATCATACTCAGTGTGAAATAAAGATGTTGTTTCTTGGCATATAGTTATAATAATAATTATTATTATTATTTAAGACGGAGTTCCACTCTTGTCACGTAGGCTGGAGTGCAGTGGCGCGATCTTGGCTCACTACAACCTCCGCCTCCTGGGTTTCAGAGATTCTCCTGCCTCAACTTCCCAAGCATCTGGGATTACAGGCACCCGACACCGTGCCCAGCTAATTTTTTGTATTTAGTAGAAATGGGGTTTCACCATGTCGGTCAGGATGGTTTTGAACTCCTGACCTCAGGTGATCCACCCACCTCAGCCTCCCAAAGTGCTGGGATTACAGGCATGAGGCATGGCACCCAGCTGGCTTATAATTAGATTAAAGCCATTACACACACACAACTTAAAAACACACACACATTAATGCTGAGTGGGCAGATTTCAAAGGAAAATGCACACATATATATTGAAGATCATTAGAACATCTATCTATCTATCTATCTATAAATCAAATCTCCTGTCTTCCTCCAACTATTGCACATTTTACTACTACCTTCTATTGTCTCTTTTGATATAGAGATACAGACTGTGTGTGTGTGTGTGTGTGTGTGTGTGTGTGTATTTCCTGCTACAAAGAGAGATATATATATATATTTTATTTGTCTGCATACTGTCTCTCTGGGTCTCTTTCAAATATCTTATTTTGTCAAATGAAGGTAAATTTTTAAAAATGAATAAAATTGCTTGGCACAAGTGTGCTATATTTTAAAATGTACATAGGCGTGACTCATGGCCTGGCATGTAGCAAGCGCTCTGTAAACAGTAGCAGGGGTGCCGTACCTCACAGGTGTGGCTGCTAGAATTTCAATAAAGTAGAAATGAGATACGACTTTTATGCTCACTTTGCTCTTGATTCTCATTGCTTATTCATTTTAATTGTACAGCAAATATTTATGGAGGTGCCAGCACATGCTTGGTGTGGTGCTTGACAATGAGGATACCAAGTTTACTGCAGCAAGGTCTATGACCTCAAAGAGCTCAGCATTGCAAAGGAGATAAATATTATGAATAAATAAAGTTTATTGGGCCAGGCATGGTGACTCTCGCCTATAATTCCAGCACTTTGAGAGGCCGAGGTGGGCAGATCACGAGGTCAGGACATCAAGACCATCCTGTCCAATATGGTGAAACCCATCTCTACTAAAAATACAAAAATTAGCTGGGTGCGGTGGTGCATGCCTGTAAGCCCAGCTACTCAGGAGGCTGAGGCAGGAGAATGGCTTGAACCCGGGAGGCGGAGGTTGCAGTGAGCTGAGATCGTGCCACTGCACTCCAGCCTGGGTGACAGAGTGAAACTCTGTCTCAAAAAAAAAAAAATTATTTAGCACCTATATTATGCTAGATACTCTGCCTAGTGCACTTCTATATAGCATCTCCCATTTAATTCACATAACAACTTTATGAGTGGGCTCCATGATCAATTTTTTACAGATAGGGAAACAGACGTAGAGAACTTCTGTAGCTTGCCCAAGGCCACCAAGGCTATAAGTGATGTCACTGGCATTCAAGGCTATTCTCATGTAATGTCACAGCAAATACCCTTTTTCATATTGTGAAACAATTTGGCTCTTCCACTAGCCGTAAACTACACCGCTTCATCCATCATCCCTTTTAATATTCATGTAAAATTGGGCATAGTCTCCATGGGGATAAGGACATAAGTATGCATGCTGGAAGTATAAACAGGCCTGCGACATTAATACCTGGCTTTTAGACATGCTTATGAGGGTACCCTTTGAACATTTTTAGCTCCCTTCAGCCTCTTATTTTTTTCTCTCTAAACTCCTAGGTCAAGAAAGTATCATGCATTTGGAATCCTCACGTATTATGTTTGATCATTGGTAATTTCTGGTATGTGTATTTGCTTCTTAGAAGTCAAGTTCTCTGGAGGCAAAGATCCTAGCTTGTAACAATCCCCCTTATGTCTTTTTCCTGACAATATTTTCTGGCATTTATATGCCCTGTACTGTGCTGAATGCTATGTGTAGAAGACACTGTGTTTGTGACACATACCTTGTCTTCAAATTGCTGATAGAGAAGACAAAAACATACAGAATATTATTGAAGCAAGGTGCTGAATGGTGCAGGAATGGAAGACAAGGCATGTTTTCAGTGACTGGGGGAAGGGAGCTGGAAGGTTGCTGGGGAAGTAGTAGGGCCTGGAAAATTTCACGGAGGAGGTGATATCTGAGCTGGGCCTGATCAGGTGAAAGGATTTTGCTGAGGAGAGAAACAGCTGATGCAATTTCCAGGCAAAGGTGATATTCCTTGTTCAATGAGAGCCATAACAATGGTGATTTATTCCAGGTGTCTTAAGACACATTATTTCTGGTTATCACAACATCTCTACAAAGTGAAGTTTGTTTCGTTTTCTTTTAAATCACCATTTCACAGACAAGAAAATGGAGGTTTCAAAAGCCTAACAAAGTGCCTATGATATCTCGGCTTGTGAGAGTATGAGCCAGAGTCAGGAGCCAAGTTCTTCCTGCTATAACCACATTGTGTAGTATGAGCTGAGCCTTGATTTCCTCCTACGTAGGGTATGTTTCAGGGAGAATGACATCTGGGAGAATGAGCACAGCTGAGCATTATTAGGTGGGGTTTCAATGGTAAAGATCCCACATACTGCTGCTCTGCTCCTTTTATAATATTCCATAAGGGAAAATGTGACCCCTTTTAATTTCAAGATCACATTTCACTTTATTATTAATGAAAACATTTGTCAAAAGCATTTGGTGTAAATGTGCAGTATTTTAAAATGTAAATGGGCTTCATGAAATTAACTTTTTCTGATAAACATAGATGCAAAAATCCCCAACAAAATGCTATCAAATCAAATCAAATAACATATCAAAAAAGTTAATACAACATAATCAACTAGTATCTATCCCAGGGATGCAAGGAAGGTTCAACATACACAGATAAATAAATGTGATATATCACATCAACAGAATGAAGGACCAAAACCATATGTTCATCTCTACAGAACACAGAAAAAAATCCTTTCTGTGTCTATTGAGATAAAAATATGGGATCTTTATATGTTAATTTTGTATCTTGCAAGTTTACTAAATTCATTTATCAGTTTGATAAAATTCAACACCGCTTCATAATAAAAGCTCTTAATAATTTAAGCATAGAAGGAATATACCTCAACTTAATAAAGGTCCTATGTGACAATTACACAGCTAACATCATACTTGAATGAGAAAAAATTGAAAGCACTTCCTCTAGAACTAGAACAAGACAAGGATGCCCACTCTCACCACTCCTGTTCAACGCAGTACTGGAAATGCCAGCCATAGCAATCAGGCAAGAGAAAAAAATAAAAGGCATCCAAATTGGAAAAAAAAAGAAGTCAAATTGTCCCTCTTGCAAATACATCATCTCATATATAGAAAAACTTAAAGATGCCACCAAAAACTCTTAGAAATGGTAAACAAATTCAGTAAACTGGCAAAATACAGATTTACATACAAAGGTCCCATTTTTAACTACATGGGTTTTTCTGACTCTCTTCATCCGTTACGCATTATTGTCCATTATGCATTATTGCCAATATTCTGGCAATAGAATATTGTCTCATGTGACATGAAATGGGGTTCTGAAGTCAAATGAATTTGGGAAATCTAAGTTATACAAGAAACATAAATATCTCTATTGCAGGCCTAAGAAGTCTTTAATATGCTAGAGTGCATTATAAGGCTCCAAAAGATAGAAGTTGTGTGGGGGAAGATAATTTGACCATGAAGCCACTTCTACATACTTAAAAAAATATCCCAGCCAGGCTTGGTGGCTCACGCCTGTAATCTCAACAGTTTGGGAGTCCAAGGCAGGAGGATCGTTGAGCCCAGAAGTTTGAGACCAGCCTAGGAAACAAAATGAGACCTCATCTCTAAAAAAAAAATAAAAATAAAAAAATTAGCTGGGCATGGTGGTGCATGCTTGTAGTCACAGCTACTCAGGAGGCTAAGGCAGGAGAATTGCTTGAGCCTGGGAGGTTGATGCTGCAGTGAGCCATGATCACACCACTGCATTCCAGTCTGGGTGACAGAAGCAAGACCCTGTTTCAAAAATGAACAAATAGGCTAGGTGCGGTGGCTCATGCCTGTAATCCCAGCACTTTGGGAGGCCAAGGCAGGCAGATCACCTGGGGTCAGGAGTTTGAGACCAGCCTGACAAACATGGAAAAACCTTGTCTCTATTAAAAATACAAAATTAGCCGGGCTTGGTGGCACATGCCTGTAATCCCAGCTACTCAAGAGGCTGAGGCAGGAGAATCGCTTGAACCCAGGAGGTGGAAGTTGTGGTGAGCCAAGATCGTGCCATTGCACTCCAGCCTGGGCAACAAGAGCGAAACTCCATCTCAAAAAAAAAAAAAAAAAAAAAAGTAAAAGAGAAAAAAAAATTTTTCACAGGATCCATCAAGATTCATTTTTTTTTTTTCGGGGGGAGCAAGAAATTAGACATGTGAGAGTAACAGGTGAAAACCATGATTTGCAATCTTCAAAAGACCTGGGTTCAAATCCCACCTCTGCCAACTAACTTACTGTACCAGCTCCCATAAATAATCTATCCACCCTTAGAATAACAGACTTACCTTGGCACTTGGAAAGTACAGGAAATGGCAGCAACTATCATTATTACTTTTATCATTGTCCCTTTCAAAACCCTAATGCACTGGAAACAAGGGAGGATGCAAAGATAATTTTCACTCCTTAAACAGCAGGATGGCAGAGAGGACTGGATACCTCCAGGGTTTTGTGACACTAAGTTTATAAAGACCCTCCCTCTCCAGAAGGGTGGCCTAATGAATCACTGAGCCCTGCTATGAAGAGAAATGTTTATGGTTTTCTGATGCTGCAGCTGGCTAGTTCGATAACACTCTTAAATAACCCCTTTCACCTTTAAAGCCTGATACATTTGCCTCCTGTTTACTGTTCCAGGAGTTCTAAAGCTATAAAAATAACCTCACTTTAAAGAGGCAATACATTTTTTTTTAAAGCATAAAAGTGACTTGGCTAGAGCCTTAGTAATTTAAAGAATAGAAGCCCAGCAAGTACATTTCATTCACTACAGCTCAGTCTTCTATCAGGGAAGAGTTGGACAGTTTTGTCTCTTTTGTTGTAAAGTATAAAGAAGAAAATTGTTTCCCTAGCATCCCCATACTGGGATTGCCCCAGACCTTTCAGACATGGGAGCTCATGCTGAATTTCATTAACTAGGTAACCATTAACTGCTCTGAACCTCTGTATATATAAATTGAAGAGGTTAACATTTTTTGCTCCAGCTTGCCCACCCAGAAAGTTCTAAGATTCTTGACATAAAATTGTTGCCAGGTATGCCCCACACTCTTGTGTTCTTTTAGTCTGAAGATCTGAGGGAAGGAGTAAAATTGGGAGTTCTGCTAACATGCGAGTAGATTCAAGATGATCCAAAATTGTCCCTGATTTTAAGGAGATTGCTGTCTAATTGGGGACATAAGACTGAAATAGAAAACAGTCAGTGTGAAGTTGAGTGATGATTATGGCACACAATTTATAAGTGCTTGTAGAAGATTAGTAGACAGTGTGATTACATCCGTTCAGAAATGGCTTCATGGGGAGCTGGGTAGACAGATGAATGAGTGTTGGACAGATCAAGAAAAAGAAGGTGTTCTATTCAGGATCTTTTTACTGGCAAAGATAAGGAAATGATGTAAGGTATCCCAAGTAAAAATCAAGTTTTAATACAATGATAAGGTATTTTGTGAATTCCAGTTAGGAAAGAAAATACAGCCAAATTTTAGGTGAATAGAAATTGATAACTGGAATGCCGCAGGATCCAGAGGTGAGATCCCCTCCATCCCTCAGAGGATACACAGTTGACTATAGATCCTCAAGTATACCTGCTCAACCTCCTCTCTCTCAGAGGACACATGGAAGAACGACTGCTTACTCTTTATTTTGCCTGGGAGCACACTCAAATGGCAGCTCCAGCCTCTGAATGGTAAAACTCCTCTATGTGGGCAGAACACTACACATCATTTGCTACTAGCCAGTCTTTTGATTGCATCCTCACAAGTTAGGGGACCACTGTGGTTTGTCAGCTATGCCCAAGGGTAGGGTCACATAGTACAGAGGACTTTTCGTTCCAAGGGCTACAGGCAGGACTGTTTATATTAGCAGGAAAAGGTTCCTCAACAAGGAAGACAAACAATACTGCTGGTGCAAAGTGTCACATCAGGTTACAGAAAATGAGGGGCAGAAACACTGAGCCTGTAAAGAGAATTTCCTAGCCCAAGTGAACAGTGGTCTAAGGCAAAGCAAAAAAAAAAAAAAAAAAAAAAAAAAAAAAAAAAAAAAAAGAATTCAACCAGATGAAGCATGGCTTTGAAATTCAAGGAAATGATGAATGATTAGAAAGAAAATAAGCACTGATAATGTAAATAAATAGGATAATGGATTTTGACCATTATGGTGGGGACAATGTTGAAGTCTTGAACTATAAGACATCATAGTTCTGCATGTTGATGAAGTCTCTTGAAATTTAGATCAGGAGGCAATCAAACAGCAATGAGAAAGGAACTCTATACACTGTTCTAATTGACCTTCAGGAAAAGAATTTAGTCCCTTACTGAATTTTGAAACACCACAGCTTGATGAAAAAGATCCTTGGCTCCAGTTTCTAATTTAGCTTTAATATTTGCTAGCAGACATTTTTTTTTTAACCTCTCCTTGTTTTAGTTATTCAATCTGCAAAACAAAAGGACAATGCTTACATTTAAGAGTTATTTTAAGAATTCATACAGTGTGCCTAGGATAGTGTCTGGTATATGGTAGATGTTTTATAAATGTTAATTTCAGTTTTTCTCTATTCCTCTTCAGATCTAGGTCCATATTAATTCTCTTTATCCACTGGAGTTTTTTTTTTTTTTAAACTATGAGTGGCTTAAAACCCATGCCACGCTAAAGATGATGAAAGGGAAGGGTAAGCTTTTTTGTGTGGAGAGGAGGGTTGAGAGGCCGGCAGTGACTCTGAACCAGCAGTGAGGCATTGAGCCATCTATACTCACTGATGACATGGCTATTCTTTTTATTGGGCATACATAAAGAAACGTGACCCAGACTGCAAAGGACCAATTGTGTCACAGCTTCTTTCCTAGAGGATTTCCTTTTTGTACTTTTTATGAGCCCCTACAAATGGAATCAGACGGCATGGCTTTTCCAGACATTTTGTAGAGGAAGATTGATTAAAATTAGTTACAGATGAAACAATGCCCTCTGCTTTTGTCGAGTCCCTTTGTCAAGAAATATATGACAGAAGTGACTAAACTCTTCTTTACCCACACTTTGGCAAAAGCCAAAAGTTGTTTCTCTGTTAATCTGACCTTATCCTTATTTACCAATGAGGCTTTCTTTAGCTTGTTGTTCCCATGGGCTTGAAGTATCACGAGATCAGATTATGGGATGCAGGGAAGGAAAAAGAAGCACCTACCCTCATCTTCTGTTTGTCCCTATGTTCTGCCTATTGCCTCTGCCTCTCCAAGTTACCTCCCCGTAGGCCAGTCTCAGGGCTGTGGCTTTCCCAAGGATTTGCCCATTTTGCCACAGAGAGGGACTTGGACTCTGATAATATTGCCATTAGCAGTGTCAGAAAAGAACCTCTTTCCTTCAGTGCTCTATTCATTCCTCTGATAGAATCTGGGTAAATACAAGTCTCCTTATGCAGAATAAACAGTCCCTGCTGCTCTCTCTGCTTTGGTCTGTTAGTCACTAAATTAAATTCTGCATTGGAAAGAATCAGAAGCCTACAGGTAGCTTAGTTCAGCAAATAATGAGAAAACCAAACTGAAAATCAACATACTTCAATGCTTGTTATATGGATAAATTCTGTGGACGCTGTGGGGGTAATAGTATCATATATAATTTATTCAAAAAATTTGTATTTTGTTTTGTAGCACCTAGATGAAAGCAGGGCTCAATAATTGTAAGCTGGATGAATGGATGCATTTTGAAGACTCCCAAGGAGCGTGGTCACAGCAATGTTAAAGACTTGAACATATAGCTCCTCAAGACACCCAAGTTATATTTTTCTTTAAAAAGTATTTTTTTAAATTATTTATTTCGATAGTTTTATTAAGGTGTAATTTACGTATCTTAAAATTCATCTACTTAAGTGGGCTATTGACTTTGCGATTATTTTTGACCCAACATTTGTTATAATGGAAGGAAGGAAGAATATCTCTCTGACTGAAACTCTAGGGGAGCCTAAGGGGGTTAAATGTTATCATCAAATCTGTCACTCCCCTAGGTTCTGGGGAACATCTTTCAAATCCACTTCATCCTATTTTCATCCTTACAGCTTCTCAGAACCACCTGGGCTGTTTTTCCCCTCTTAGTAGGCTGAGCTTCTGGCAAGAGAGCGTCCCCTGGTGTCGGGTTGTGAGATGAAGGTTGTGGCCATAGTGCATGTGGGATCTTCACTTACATACACTGGGGAGCGTTCTTACCTGAATAACCCAATGGACCTCCATTAGAGGAGTGTGCTTTTAAAGTGCAGATTCCCAGGTTTCACTTTCCAAATGGCTGGTTCTGGAGGGCTAATGTAGGCCCAAGAAATCTGTATTCTAAAGAAGACCCCAAGGGGATTCTGATGCGGATGATCCCTGAAAAATATCTGAGAGCTTCTGAATGACCTTATAGCAATATTGGAAAGGTTATGAGTTGGAAATGTTGACTGCCCTAGTCTAACCAGTTCTAGCTTTAACTACCTAATATGGCCTTTCCAGTGTATCTGATCACACACCCCCATCCCCCGCAACACACACACGTCTACACACAATCTTTATTTTTGACAAAAAGAAAAGACAAGTTGATATGGGTAAGTTAGGAAAAGATAACTTAGAAGTAAAATAAATCATAATTTTCTGGGAAAATATTTTTTAGAACAATGCCATCTTATTTAAATATATATATTTACTTTCAAGGGATACAGATACATATGCATCCACCCTTCCAAATGTTAGCTGAGACCAGATTCTTGCTGAGAAATGAATGAAATGGGAGATTCAACTCTAGTTTAAAACACAAACATTTCCAATGACTAACGGTTTCCTGCCACCTTAGTTAAGGCAGGACTTCCTATTGACAGGAATAATTAGCTTTGGAAATAAAAGTGGAAATGGAAACTAAGGATGCTAGCTGACGAGCCCGCTTTGCATATTTATATATTCTGCCATGTCTTTGCATTGT